>NC_000013.11:89586312-89889342 GCF_000001405.40 Homo sapiens
TTTCCTGAAGAGTTGAGAAAGTCTCCTTTTCCTTTAGGTGAGGCCCTTTAGCAAACACAGGTTCTCCATGACCTCTGCCCCCCAACTCCACTCATAAACACTCCAAGACCCTTTTGTTCAGTGGAGTTGCACTCAGACCTAGCTACAGACTCTTTTCTATTGCAGTAGCCATGGGCAAAGTCATCCTTGCCTGTTTTTAAAATGGATTTTAAAAAGACAGTGGTTTTACTACACACGTATGAAGAACTAAAATGAAGCAAAGGGATTAATGTATATGTAATAATATGATTATAATGATTTACCATGGAATGTAAAGTATGAGTACTCATCATGGGTTAATAAACAGTGAAAATAATAGGATAAAATGGATTGAAGAACTTAACAGAAGTCAAAAGATTGATGAAGTTGAGGTATTAAAAGGAGGAGATGGTAAACGGAGATTGAGAAGTGTACAATTTAAAACTATGGAGGGGAGGCTGGGAGTGGTGTCTCATGCCTGTAATCCCAGCACTTTGGGAGGCCGAGACAGGTGGATCACTTGGTCAGGAGATCGAGACCATCCCGGCTAACACGGTGAAACCCTGTCTCTACTAAAAATACAAAAATTAGCTGGGTATAGTGGTGGGCGCCTGTAACCCCAGCTACTCGGGAGGCTGAGGCAGAAGATATCAGCTGAACCCTGGAGGCGGAGGTTGCAGTGAGCTGAGATTGCACCACTGCACTCCAGCCTGCGCGACAGAGTGAGATTCTGTCTCCAAAACAAACAAACAAACAAACAAAAACGAATAGAAAATCTAGAAAGTCAAGTTAAATAGCATCCACATGCACAAACATCCACACAGATGTGCACACATATACTCATTTAGCTCTATTTTACCTGGTAATCATAACTGAAACCTGATTTTTAGCTTTATGACAACAAACAATAACCACTATTCAAAATTTTCAAAACTAATAAAACTATCATTAAGATGGTTTCTGGACAATTGTTTTTACTATAATAAAATTTGAAGCAAAACTCTTTAAGCTATGTCAATATTTCCTAGCATATACTCTGCAACCATTATCTATAATGTCTGAGGTTATATAATGTTACCGCAAAAAAAGACATTGCATAAAAGAACGCTGTAAGATTATGAAATAATGTAAGACTGGTTCCTTCTGCTTCATTATTTATAGTAACTTAGGTTCAACATTGCATTAAAAACGCACATTAGACATTACATTTCCAGCTTTATTGAATTTTGACAAATTTAATTAAAAAGACTTATTGGACCTCACACATTTTAGAAATTACTGGGAAATTAGAACCTTCATTTTTGTAGTTTTATGATGCAAATTGGCAAATTGCTTACCCTGATAATTCTTTTCCTTCATGCTTCATTATTCATAGATTTAACCATCATGGACCATATATTAAACAAGTATTACAGTAATTTTGCATGAGCACTTTGTCTCTTATCGTCCTTTGTCCTTTAGTTTATTTTGGATACAATGATTAAATGATCCATATCTTCTGCCTATTTCAAATTGATTTCACTGTTACTCAAAATAATGTGGTTCTCTCCAAATTTAAAATTCAGAAGAATATTGACAACTACGCAGTCATTTTGAGAATGATCATCTTGTTACTGGCTATGATCTTAAATTCTGATAGCTCTCACTGAATGACAAAGGAGTTTATCCTATTAGATGAATTCAAATCAAGAACAAGTTTCTTCTGACATTACCATTTTAGACAAGTAAAATCCCCATTTACTGAAGTGTACCTCTAATTTAAAATGTAGACATGTTTTACTTAAATAAATAATGTCTTATTGACATTAGGATCAAACCATAGGAAACCAGAGCTAAATATCCAAGTCTATTACTTAATGGAAAGTCCTATCATCACTTACAATATTGCAGATTTAGGAATATGGCAACCAAGAAGTAACAATGACAAGAACAAAACAAAACACAACAAAGCAACAACAAAAAAACTTTGTGTGTACGTATTTGTATGATTCTGTTGAAATGTGACACAAAGAAATATTAGTATCAAAAGATTAGTTGATGGCATCAGTGCAGTGAGAATGAAAAGTATATATATATATTTTTTTCCTCAATGCCACTTTGCTCATTTCACCAAAACCAAATATGTCTAAAAATGGATTTTAAAAATAAAATAAATACCCTGCCTTTTTTCAGTAAGTCAAATATTCAGGTATTACAGCATACCATTATTTTAACTAGGGTACTGACACTTCCATTTCTGTGTTCATTGATGGATACGTGGATAAAGAAAATATAATACACACACACACACACACACACAGACACGTACACACACAATGGATAGTATTCAGCCTTAAAAAAAACAAAATCCTACCATTTGTGATAATAATATGGATGATCCTGTAGGACATTATGCTCTGTGAAATAAGTCATACATAGAAAGACAAACCCTGTATTATCTCACTTACATGTGAAATCTAAAAAAGCTAAATTCACAGAAACTAAGAGGAGAAGGGTGATTATCAGGAGTAGAGGAGTGGAGAAAACTGGAAGATGTAGGTCAAATGTACAAACTTACCTTTACAAGATGAATAAGTTCTGAAGATCTCATGTACAGTGCGGTGACTATAGTTCATAGTATGGCAACCAAGGAGTAATAATGACAAGAAAAAAACCAAACAAAACACAGCAAAGCTGGCTGGGCATGGTGGCTCACACCTGTAATCCCAGCACTTTGGGAGGCTGAGGCGGGCAGATCACGAGGTCAGGAGTTCAAGACCAGCCTCGACAACATGGTGAATCCCCCTCCCTACTAAAATTACAAAAATTAGCCAGGCGTGGTGCGGGTGCCTGTAATCAATCCCAGCTACTCAGGAGGCTGAGGCAGGAGAATTGCTTGAACCCGGGAGGTGGAGATTGCAGTGAGCTGAGATCGTGCCACTGCACTCTAGCCTGGATGACAGAGCAAGACTCTGTCTTGGAGAAAAGCAAAACAAAACAAAACCACAGCAAAGCAACAACAAAAATCTTTGTGTGTATGTATTTGTATGATTCTGTTGAAATGTGACAAAAATAAATATACCAAAAGATTAATTGATCTTAATTAAATGATTAATTAATTGAATGCTTAAAGACATTTTATTGGGGGGCCTTGAAATAAACATCTAACATTTTTATAATCAAATGTTATAACTTGGTATGGAGGCCTTGGAATGAAGAACTAACTCTTACTCTTTCTTTCTTTTTTTTTTTGGAGTTTCACACTTGTTGCCCAGGCTGGAGTGCAATGACATGATCTTGGTTCAACACAACCTCCACCTCCCAGGTTCAAGCAATTCTCCTGCCTCAATCTCCTGAGTAGCTGGGATTACAGGCATGCGCCACCACACACAACTAATTTTGTATTTTTAGTAGAGACGGGATTTCTCCATGTTGGTCAGGCTGGTCTCAAACTCCAGGCCTCAGGTGATCTACCTGCCTCGGCCTCCCAGAATGCTGGGATTACAAGCATGAGCCACTGCACCTGGCCCTAACTCTTTCATAATCAAATTGTATAGCTATTAGAGAAAGAATCAATATATTTTGATATCTACAAATACAATGCAAAGTCTTACTTTTGTCAAAAAGGAGAACAGAATACTTTCATTTTTATTGTGAAAATTACTCTCTTGCTAGAGAGTAGATCTCACTGCACAAACAGACACACACACAGGTAACTGTGTGAGGCAATGGTTACGTTAATTACCTTAATTGCAGTAGTCATTTCACAATGTATACATACATCAAAACATCATGTTGTGTACTTGGAATATATCATACAATTTTTATTTGTCAATTATACCTCAATAAAACTGAATAAAAGAAAATAAATGTAATGACATTAATGGAGGTGTAAGTTATTACTACCTCATTCCTCTTTGGAATATGAAAACAATAATACCTTGGAACTCCAAGCACATCATAACCTTTAGATTGATCTTATTCTGTATTTAGGGTAATACCAATAAATATTCCCTTCCATTAATATTTCATTTTTAATGTAAATGTGTCCTATTGATGGGCAATTAATTTGCTTTCAGATACTTTAGTATTATATGCAATGCTGCAATGAACATCTCCACACTTTCAAATGAGAATGCTTTTGTAATAATATTCTTATAATAAATTAAGCAAAAAATGTGCACTGTAAGAAGTAATCCATGTCAAATTGCCCTTCAAAATATTGCCTTAATTATACTCCCTTAAAGAACATATGCAAGTCTGTCTCTAATTCTTGCCATACAGCTACAGTGTTTTGTTTTTTCATATTTTTAATTACCAATTAATTCAGCATATTTTCAGATGCTTATTTTTTAATATATTTTACATTTTTTGTAAAATTCCTCTTCATAGCTTTTACCTACTTTTTAAAAACTGAGTTGTCGGTCTTTTCTTATTGAGTATTAGAATAACTATATACACTATTTGTTCTTGCATATTTATCTGCAATTTTTGTTTTTATTTCACAGATAAATTTTGAATTTTTTTGCACAGTAATATTAATCATTTACCTATAGCTTCTGCATTTTGGCCACATTTTGAAATTGTTAAACATTTTGGTTTTCCAGAGTTTAAATACAAAGTACATTTATGTAGTACATAATGAAAATAAAAATTATTTTTTAATCAAAAGTAATACTTTTGTATTGTATTTGTAGGTATTTAAGTATGTTGATTCCTTCTGTAATAGTGATAATGGGTTATAAAGAGTTAGATCTTCATTCCAAGGCCCCCATACCCATGTGAAGTTGTCTTCAGCCTCTCTCTCTCTCTCTATCTATACATAGAGACAGTAATATAAGACATCCCATATTCTATTAATTGTTTTCCCATATAGGGTACAGTGTGGAATATGTTATGTGTGAGAAGAATTATGTACTTACATATTTCTTTATCAATCTTGCAATGATTACCAATGCAACCTTTATTGTTTTTCCAATTTCACAATAAATAGATCTTACATTTTAAGTTAAAATAGCCTGTAGACTTTAAGTATTATAGAGGCTTCTAACTGTATTTGTCTTTTGCTAAAATTAACATATAAAACAAGCATTGAATATTTACAGATTTTGTTGTAAGGACTTCTGAATCGTTTTTTGTTTTTTTTTTTTTTTTTTTTGCCTTTATTCCATACTAATATAGGAGGAATGGGCTTTAAAACTGGTATACTAATATGGCCAGGCGTGGTAGCTCACACCTGCAATCCTGGCACTTTGGGAGGCTGATGCGGGTGGCTCACTTGGGGACTTGAGGTCAGGAGTTTGAGGACAGCCTGGGCAACACGGTGAAACCCCGTCTCTACTACAAGTACAAAAATGAGCTGGGGCGTGGTGGTGCATGCTTGTAGTCCTAACTACTGGGGAGGCTGAGGGAGGAGAATCACTTGAACCTGGGAGGCAGAGGTTGCATTGAGACCAGATTGTGCCACTGCACTACAGCCTGGGCAACAGAGCAAGACTCTGTCTCAAAAAAAGAAAAATTGTTATACTAATTTTGCTTTATATAATTATAATGCTTAAGTACATCTTGTTATCTAATTTTATCCACATACAATTATGTAAATTATTTTTTGGCACTTTAAGCACATCTGTTTTACATGCTATACATTTGAGTAAAGATTCATGTAAACAATGACCTTACATTTAGTCTTCTCACTTCCAATCCACATCATAACTGACCTTATACCTCCATAGCATTGATCATGTCCTTACATGCATACTCATGGTTTTTTACTCATAATTTTCTTTTAATATGATTGATTAAAAATCCTGCAGTTTTCTCTGGACAAGTGAATGATGCTGGAGAAAATTATACATACATTTTATCAATAAATTTTAAAAATATCATTTGTTTTCTAATTATGCCTCAATTTCTTTTTTCTTTTTTTTTGAGACAAGAGTCTTGCTCTGTTGCCCAGGCTGGAGTGCAGTGGCATGATCTCGGCTCACTGCAAGCTCCGCCTCCCAGGTTCATGCCATTCTCCTTCCTCAGCCTCCAGAGTAGCTGGGACTACAGACGCCTTCCACATTCCCAGCTAATTTTTTTTGTATTTTTAGTAGAGACCAGGTTTCACCACATTAGCCAGTATGGTCTCGATCTCCGGACCTCATGATCCGCCCACCTCAGCCTCCCAAAGTGTTGGGATTACAAGTGTGAGCCACCACATCCAGCCAATGCCTCAATTTCTTTAAGTTTTCTACATTTTACTTTTTTTAAAGTTTTACCTCCCATTCTTCACATCGGTGTTATTTTATATCATATAATATAACCTGAGTTGAACTCTCAACTCTTACATCATTTATTGTTTTTGAACCTCCCTCCTCCACTAACATAGACACCAAGTTACCCAAGGATAAAAATCGTAACATACTTAAATTGAAATGTAATGAACTTCTGTCAAATATAAGTTCTACTATTTAAATTTCCTTTGGTTTTAAGGAAAAATTTTAAAAATAAAATAAGTGAATAAATAAAACTGAAACAATAAGAAAGACACCAATAACTGTAATGAGAAAATCCTGGAATAGCTAAAAGATTCTCAGGTTGTATTGAAGAACCAAATATTAAAACAAAAAAAAGACCTGTTTTAAGATCTCAGATAAGTTTCCAAAGACTTCCTTCTGCGTCTTGGCATTAAGTGATACTAGCCCAAGCTCTGACCATCTTGAATAGTATTCCACTTTAAAGGAGAGAAACAAACAAACAACAATGTTCATTATGGTGTAGCACAAGTCTCTACTTTTAAATTGTTCCTACATTTATTTTATGGGTAAAATTGAGAAATAGCTGCCGAAGCCACTATCTGGTGTATTAATGGTAATTATCAGAGAAGAGGAGCTTGGAATTAGACAAGGAGAGAAACCATGATGTATTTAATGCATTTGGATGCCAGGAATGCCAATGTTTGCTCTGAGGATTATTGTTTATAATACTAGGATAATATATTGAGTCCATAGTCTGTGTCAGATGATACATTAAATATAATACCCTATTTAATCTTCAAACCCATCCTGCAAGGTAGGTAAGATTACAATAATCCCCATTTTACAGATAATGAATCTAAGGCTTACATTATTTCATTAGCAATGTTCTAATATGTTCCCATGTATATCACTTTACCTCTGTTGCCACATTTATATTAAGTAATATCACATTTATTGTGATGCTTTGCACTTGGTATATTTTCTGTAATATTATTGTGTGATGAATGATAACACCACTAATAAAATGTGTTGAGAATAAATACATGAATAAAATTTAAAGGCTATACTTGACATTTATAATACAAAAGCATAGAAACCTACATTGATAGTGATTTTAGTGATAAAATGAGAAAATTAATCTTAGACTTCATCAGAATCGATATATCACTATTTGTACCTATGCATATATTTACATTTATATCTATTATCTATGTCCATGCTTGTACCTGTACAGTCATGTGCCACTTGAAGACATTTCAGTCAACCATAGACCTCATATATTATAGTGGTCCCATAAGATTATGATGAAACTGAAAAATCTCTATCACTTAATGATGCCATAGCTTTTGCAACGTCGGAGCTCGGCACATTACTCACGTACTTGTGATGTTGCTCTAAACAAACTACTGTCCTACATATAAAAGTATAGCACATACAATTATGTACAGTAGCAAATAACTTTGTAATGAGATTCTGTATGGACTATACCACACTTTTGAAATCATTATTTCAAGTGTACTTTTCTACTTATAAAAAAAGGTAACTGTAAAACAGCCTCAGGCAGGTACTTCAAGAGGTATTCCTGAAGAAGCGCTGTTATCACAGAAGATGACAGCTTCATGCCTGTTATTTCCCCTGATGACCTTCTAGGGGTACAAGATGTGGAGGTGGAAGATGGTGATATTGAAGATCCTGACCTTGTGTAGACCGAAGCTAATGTGTGTGTTTTTGTCTTGGTTTTTAATAGAAATGTTTAAAAAATTTAAAAAATAGAAAAATAGAATAAAAATATAAAGAAAATATTTTTGTGTAGTTGTATCCAAATATCAGATAAAACATTATTTCTGACTCTATATGTGAGGGTGTTTCCAGAACATACAAGCATTTGAATATGTACACTGTGTGATGGTTAATACTGAGTGCCAACGTGATTGGATTGAAGGACACAAAGTATTAATCCTGAGTATGTCTGTGTGGGTATTGCCAAGAGAGATTAACATTTAAGTCATTGGGCTGGAGAAGGCAGACCCCCCTTAATCTGGTGGGCACAATCTAATCAGATTCCAGCTAATACAAAGCAGGCACAAAAACGTGTAGAAGAAAGATGGGCCTGGACTCCCAGGCTACATTTTTCCCCCATGCTGGGTGCTTCCTGCTCTGAAACATCAGACTAGAAGTTCTTCAGTTTTGGGACTTTGTCTGGCTCTCCTTGCTCCTCAGCTTGCGGCCAGCCTATTGTGGGACCTCATGACCTTGTAAATTAATACTTAGTAAACTCGCCTATATACATATATGTATGTGTATATATATATATATGTGTGTATATATGTGTATAGATACTTAATACTTAACAAACTCCCCATATATGTGAGTGTATATATATAAATATATAATACTTAATAAACTCTCCTATATATGTGTATATATGTATATATACACATATATAACAATATGTGTATATATGTGTGTATATATGACATATATGACATATACATATATGTCATATAAGTGTTTATATATACATATATACTTAATTCTTAAACTTGCCTCTATATATGCATTTACATAAGTACTTAAACTCCACTATATATGTGTGTATATGTGTGTATATATACACACATATATATGACTATATATAGTATGTGTATATATATACATATATATGACATATATATGTGTGTGTGTGTGTGTGTATATATCCTATTAGTTCTGTCCCTCTAAGAGAACCCTGACTAATACAGATTTTAGTACCAGAAGTGGGGCATGCACAGCAGCATTCTATCATCAAATGGAAATGGTATATACATGATTGGACTTGAGCAGGTCCTGAAGGCAAAAGTCAGTTACATGAGGAAGTGGCTCAAATGCTCATGGTCTCCATTCCTGCCACCCTACCTTCTCTCCCTGAGCCTGCACCAGTGGCCTTATGGGGAGTTCCCTATGATCAGTTGACAGAGGAAGAGAAGACTAAGACCTGGTTCACAGATGATTCTGCACAATATGCAGGCACTACCCGAAAGTGGACAGCAGCTGCACTACAGCCCCTTTCTAGGACATCCCTGAAGAACAGCAGTGAAAGGAAATCTTCCCAGTTGGCAGAACTTTGAGCAGTGCATCTGGTTATGCATTTTGCATGGAAGGAGAAATGGCCAGATGTGCGATTATATAAGGATTCATGGGCTGTAGCCAGTGGTTTGGCTGGATGATCAGCGACTTGGAAGAAGCATGATTAAAGAATTGATGACACAGAAATTTGGGGAAGAGGTATGTGGATGGACCTCTCTGAGTGGTCAAAAACCATGAAGATATTTGTATTTCATGAGTGCCCACCAACGGGTGACCTCAGCAAAGGAGAATTTTAATAATCAAGTGTGTAGGATGACCCATTCTGTGGACATCGCTCAGCCTCTTTCCCCAGCACCACCTGTCATAGCCCAATGGACTCATGAACAAAGTGACCATGGTGGTAGGGATAGAGATTACGCATGGGCTCAGCAACATGGACTTCGACTCACCAAGGCTGACCTGGCTATAACCACTGCTGAGTGCCCAATTTGCCAGCAGCAGAGACCAACGCTGAGCCCTCAATATGTTACCGTTCCTCTGGGTGATCAGCCAGCTACCTGGTGGCAGGTTGATTATATTGCACCCTTTCCCTCAGGGAAAGGGCAGAGGTTTGTCCTCACTGGAATAGACACTAACTCCAGATATGGGTTGGCCTATCCTGCATGCAATGTTTCCACCAAGACTACCATCATGGACTCATGGAATGCCTTATCCACCATCACAGTATTCCACACAGCATTGCCTCTGACCAAGGCACTCACTTTATGACTAAAGAAGTACAGCAGTGGGCTCATGCTCATGGAATTCAATGATCTTACCACTTTCCCCATCATCCTGAAGCAGCTGGATTGATGGAACAGTGGAATGGTCTTTTGAAGTCACAATTACAACTCCAACTAGGTTGCAATACTTTGCACGGCTGGTGCAAAGTTCTCCCAAAGGCCATGTATGCTTCAGCTGCCAATATATGGTACTGTTTCTCCCATAGCTAGGATTCATGGGTCCAGGAATCAAGGAGTGGAAGTGGAGGTGGCACCACTCTCTATCACCCCTAGTAATCCACCAGCAAATTTTTTGCTTCCTGTTCCTACGACATTACGTTCTGCTGGCCTAGAGGTCTTCATTCCAGAGGCAGGAATGCTGCCACCAGGAGACACAACATTGATTCCATTAAACTGGAAATTAAGATTGCTACCTGGACACTTTGGGTTCCTCCTACCTTTAAGTCAAAAGGCTAAGAAGGGAGTTACAGTGTTAGCTGGGGTGACTGACCTGGACTATCAAGATGAAATCAGTCTACTACTCCACAACGGAGGTAAGGAAGAGTATGCATAGAATACAGGAGATCCATTGGGGTGTCTCTTAGTATTACCATGCCCTGTGATTAAGGTCAATGGGAAACTACAACAGCCCAATCCAGGCAGTACTACAAATGACCCAGAACCTTCAGGAATGAAGCGTTTTGTCATTCCACCAGCTAAAACAAAACCATGACCTGATGAGGTGCTTGCTTAAGGCAAAGGGAATACAGCATGGGTAATAGAAGAAGATAGTCATCAATACCACCTACAACCACATGACCAGGTGCAGAAATGAGGTATCTGTCATGAGTATTTCCTCATTCTTTTGTTAAAAACATGTTTGTGCATATATATATACATATATATATATACGTATATATATATACGTATATATATATACATATATATATACGTATATATATATACATATATATATACATATATATATACATATATATATATACATATATATATACATATATATATATATTTGTACTAAGAAAATATCTGTGTTTTATTTCCTTTTCCTTTATTACGTAACATAAGATTTAGTGATTTTATATCAGCATTTAAGATTGTTAACTATATGTAATAGTATTTGGGTTGGGGATTGGTGCATTTCCGGTTGTACAGATAGTTGTATTATGTTAGGTGTAATAATGACCTCATTACTGTCTTTATTTGAAGATTATGTATGATCTCAGGAGATGTGTATGGGTTCAAGTTGACAAGGGGTGGACTTGTGATGGCTAATACTGAGTTTCAACTTGATTGAATGGAAAGATACAAAGTATTAATCCTGGGTGTGTCTGTGTGGGTATTGCCAAAAGAGATTAAGATTTGTGCCAGTGGGCTGGGGAAGGCAGATCCACCCTTAATCTGGTGGGCACAATCTAATCAGCTTCCAGCTAATATAAAGCAGGCACAAAAATGTGAAAAAGAGAGATGGGCCTAACCTCCCAGCCTACATCTTTCTCCTGTGCTGGGTGCTTCCTGCCCTGGAACATCAGACTCGAAGTTCTTCAATTTTGGGACTTGATCTGGCTCTCCTTGCTCCTCAGCTTGCAGACGGCCTATTGTGGGACCTCATGACCATGTAAATTAATACTTAATAAACTGCCATATGTATACATACATACACACATATATACATATATAGACATATATACACACATATATGTACACATATATATGTCTACATTTGTATATATATATGTGTGTGTATATGTGTGTGTGTATGTATGTATATATACACTATTAGTTCTGTCCCTCTAAGAGAACTCTGACTAATACAGTCCACCTCACCAATGCAGCTGGGCCTCAGTAGAACAAAAGGCAGAGGAAAAGTGAATATGCTGCCACCTTAGCTGGAACATTTGTCTTCTGCTCTCAGAGGACACCAGTGCTTCTTTTTTGCAAGACTTTAGACTAGAATTGAGACTCAGAACATTGACTTCGTTTTTTCCTTTTTTTTTGAGATAGGGTCTTGCTTTGTTTTCCAGGCTGGAGTGCAGTGGCATGATCATAGCTCACTGCAGCCTTGACCTCTCTCCAGGGCTCAAATGGTCCTCCCATCCTCCCACCTCAGCCTCCCAAGTAGCTGACACTACAGGCAGCACCATGCAGCACCATGCTTTGCTAATTCTTTTATTGTTTGTATAGATGGGGTCTCCCTATGTTGCCCAAGCTGGTCTTGAATTCCTGGGCTCAAGCCATCCTCCTGCCTCAGATTCCCAAATCGCTGATATTGGAGGCAAGAACTGCTGTGCCCAGTCAGGCCTTCTTTTTTGGAGTGGAACTTCACCACAGAGTTTCCTGGGCCTCTAGCTCACAGACAGCCAAATCATGGGACTTAGTCTTTTTAATTGCACGAGCCAGTCCCTTATAATAAATTTCTTTCTGTATGTCAATATATATTGTACTGTTTCTGTTTCTGTCTTTTTGAGAATTCTTATAAATATATCCAATGCTTAAATCTGATAAGAGTCAGAGGTATAGATTTGAAAATTCTGTGAGTCAAATCAAAGTGTGGGATTTTTTTTTTTAATAGCATAAATAACTTACATAGCAGACACTATATGTGACCGAATCTTACTTTCTCCTCTTTTGTTCTTTATAATGGGCATTTAGGGAACACAACAGATAGATATCCAAAAACTATTAGGAAAAGGATAATTTGGTATTCTATGTTTTAATTAATAAATTTGATGACCCAAAAAGATATACATATTATGTTAAGGATAAAGAGATATGCTTTACTTTCTGGTTGAATATTTTTCTTCAATAAATTAAGATAAATTTTAAAGACATAATTTTTATTTCTGATTTCAGTAGTATACTTTTTTATGCCATTTTTGTTTTATTACCACAAATTAAAGTTTTCAAAATGCAACTGAAGATCAAACTGTCACCAGGCACAAGAGAAAGTCATTGTGTCTACAGGAAAATCTCAGTATTCACAGATACATAAGTGTTAGGGCTTTGGTTGGCTCCTGGCTGAACAGGAATGGTGGGGGTTTATAATGCACAATTTTTATTCAAAATAACATCAATGTCTTGCTGAGCTATCTCTACAGTCCTCAATTTTGAGGAACCCTCTGCTCCTCCTATCCATGACCATTCCCTGTATACCCACATCACACTTCTCGACAACCATTTTTGGTTCTCCTCCCAAGGGTATTATAGTTAACCTTGGGAAATAAAAATAAAGAGAAGATAAGGCATGATTTTTTAAAAAGCAAAGACAACAAGGAAATAGAAAATTTAATAGTTATAGAATAGAAACAAAGCTTGTTCATTAGGTCAATAAACAGAACAGGTAGAAGTGACATTAAAATCAAGTTGGCAGATTATGTTTCATATAAAAATTAAATCTATGAAGACCACAGAACACAATTCTCAAAACTAGTATTTCCTCATCATTTCTCATTTTAGTAAATGGCAGTACAATCTACGTAATTGCTAAAGAGAGAAATTTGGAATTATTTTTAACCTTCTTCTCCCTTACTTACATTCAATCCACCATCTGATCTTAGTACCTTGGCCGGGCACCATGGCTCACGCCTGTAATCCCTGCACTCCAGAGTGCAGCCTCCCAGAGGCTGAGGTGGGAGGAGCACCTGAGGTTAGGAGTTTGAGACCAGCCTGGCCAAGATAGTGAAACCCCCTCTCTACTAAAAATAAAAAAAATTAACTGGGCATGGTGGCGAACACCTGTAATCCCAGCTATTCAGGAGGTTGAGAGAGGAAAATCACTTGAACCTGGGAGGCAGAGGTTGTAGGGAACCAAGATCACACCACTGCACTCCAGCCTGGACGACAGTGTGAGACCCTGTCTCAAAAAAAAAAAAAAGAAAAGAAGAAAAAAAAAGAAAGACTTGCTACCTTAATACTTAAAAATCTTTAAATTCCTACAGATTTCCTCTACCTTCGCTGACAACTGCTTCTTCAAGTTATTACCTTGCTATGTTACCTGGATTCAAATAGTAACCATCTAACGTGTCTTCACATCCATTCTTTCTACTCTTCTATCAACTTTTCATGCTGCACCCATGTTTACAATGATTGCTATTGTCTTTCTGTGGTTTAAATAATGCCAATGTCTTCTCTCTGGGTATGTTATCCAGGAAAAAAAAAATCTAATTGTATCGGTTAGTACTGTTTTTAGGAAAATTAACTGAAATTTAATTCAAATTAACATAGCCAAAAAAGAATACATGTTGACACCTAAAATTATAAGTTCATGGACAACCCAAGCAATATCACAAAAAAGATTTCTCCATCTATTTTCCCTGCTCTCCTCTGTGGATGACTGTGAGCAGCTTTAGATTACATCTTTGCCACTCCAAATTAATTAAAAAGGTGGAAATGTCTTTCTCTCAATATATGGGGGAAAAACTCTTTGAGCTTGACTGGCATTTGGTCCAAATGTGTAACATAATGATTCTGAACCAAACTCACAGTAGTGAAAGTACTAATTAACTTAGAGTTAGGTCCCATGTTTACCTCTGCAGTTTGGGTCGCGTCAGCAGCAGCATCTAACCATAGTGAATTGAGGAAAGCCTTGATGTATTGCCACATTATGATGGTGTAAACCCTATAGATTTATGGGTTGAGAGAACCTTGATGTTGAGCATGTAATAAATTTAAGGAAAGAATGCAGCCCAGGTTTCCAATGACAGCTCCTCTGCAAGATGAGTTACTCCTACTCCTTGCTACTTTTTGAAGTTACAGAAAAGTGAAAAAAAAAAAAAAGACAAAATATCTTGGCCTTATGCTATATTGCAAAGGAAGTGAGCAAATGGTTTGGGATAAATAATAATAGACTAGGTGTGGGCAACATAGTGAGACCTCATCTGCACAAAAAGTTAAACGAAATAGCCAGGCCTGGTGACACATGCCTGTACTCCTAGCCACTCAGGGAGGTGAGGCAGCCAGATCCCTTGAGCCCAGGAATTTGAGGTTATGAGCTACCACTGCACTCCAGCCTGAGTGACAAAGACTCTGTCTCTAAAAAATAACATATGATAAAAAAAAAATTTAAATGATAATAGACTAAATCAGCATTAATTTCAGAGTGAATAAAACCTGCAAACAGAGCTGCTTCTGTGTGAACAAGATAAGAAATAATAATGCAAGTTTGAAAATATCAAAGAGCAGGATGGGGGTAAAGGAAACATTGTATGTAAAAAGGGGTAATATGTTTCCTCAAAAGATAAATAACTCAGGGAAGAGAGAATATTCTTCCCAAATGTTTCAAGCTACAGAATAATTTAATAATATTAAAAAATCAATTACATAAGAACTATAGATAAGGTGATATATCAAAAGAATGAATTTAAAAAGTAGACTGCAGAACTGTGTGAAACAAGCAGACCATCAAACTTACATAATATAAATCTATGAATAGATTATAAAAATGAAGCAGAATAGACACTAGTGACAATCACATTACTGACAAAGAGTAAAAGCATGTTTTAAATGACAGCAGTTATAGACAATAATTTTAATACTATGAACCCAAGCAATGTACAAGTAATAATAACACGAAAACCTGGAAGGTAGAAGTAAAGGAGATGAGACATGATGGATGTCATCATTCAAATCACATGAATATAAGATTCTAAAAAGAAATATTTAATTAAAAATATTGATTCTAACTTCTGAATGAATTTCATTAAATCATTTTTAAGCTTTCCAGTATTATTTGGCATATATTTTGCAGTAAAAAATACATATTGATAAAGAAATACATATAAAACTATTTCCATTCATTTTATATTGAAATTGTCTACCATGACATTTTTAATTAAAATGAAATTTAGTATTCATTAATTAAGCCTTACATTCATAAAATGATGACTTTTTCATGATGATATGGCTGATGTTTACTTTGGACATAATATTTATTCTATTTTATAAAAGGTTTATGTGTGCAGGAAAAGAATATGGTTCAGTGTTCAAATTAGTGTAACAAAATACAACTTCTTTTCAAATTATTATTTTTTTTTTGTAGGAGAGCTCTTTGTATATCCAATACTGACTAAAGTCTGCCAAAACATTCTATTTTGATTTCAGTTTGCCAATTACTATTTTTTAATCTTCATCTTTATAGAGTTTTAAATTTTTTTACTTTACATAATTTAAGTTAGTATGTATGGTAAAAATCAGATCATAATTGTTATACTTTCTTATAGAGTTTCTCTTTTGTTGATGATCTATGGACTCTCCCAATTCCATGAGTGCTTTTGCCTTAAGCTTTTAAGCTTAAATACTTGGTCGTATATAGGCAGTATGTTAATATGGTCATTAACTGGAGCTTGGGCATTCTAGTTCTTTTAATTCATGTGTCTACTACTTCTTGCCCATCACACTCAATACTCTGAACTGTGAGCTCTGATTCAGAGTGCTTTTTCAAGTGGAAGTACTGAGAGGCCTGGGCTGAGGACATGTCCCTGTAGAACCGGCCTACGTTCCACAGTGTTCTGAGTTTTATTGCTCTGTAATCAGTTTGGCTGGGAGTGGAGGAAAGGTCTGAATTTGTTGTTAGGATATTTCTGGAGCATATCATTTAGTTTAAATTCCAACTGCAAACCCCTTTGATGCTCAACATAGTAGTTATGAATTCTAAGAGGGAATTAGTTTTGTGCTCATATTCCCTAAATCCATCCTTAGGTATAGTTTTATTGCAATCTTAGTCCCAAATGTTCACTAAATGTTTTATCTATTTCCATAAAAATGAATATATAGTAAATTATAATTCTTTGTTCTAGAACATTTTGTGGTTAAGTAAAAAGAAGCATGACATAAAATAGCATATGTAGTTTTTCCTACAAATATTGCAATTTCCATAGAAAGAAGTGACATATGAATATCAAGAATGCATATGTATGTATAAATGCATATGTGCATATAAACTAACTCACTGTAATTCCATACCTAATGCTTATGAGAGCTCAGAGTTCTTCAAATGATTTATGAGTTCCATGACTTCCTTCATTGTGCATTTTCTGCTTCCATATTCAGTTTCGAGATAGCAATCCCAATGCAAATGCCACTTCTTCATCAGTTTCCACAAAGCAACAACTCACACTCAGCACTTCCTGAGTTTAACTTTACTGAATATTTGGCCTTTCTTGGTAAAGAGTCAGATGACTGAGCCTGTTGCCTACCATCATCTTGCAAGTTTCACCATCTGTCTTCTTTCATTCTCTTTAGACTTAGAACAAGTCCCCACCTCCTGCCATACTTTCCCCTCAAAGGATTCTTCTCACATCCAGGCCTCACAGAGGATAAGTTTATATGCCATATTAGTTAGGGTTCTCTAAAAGGACAGAACTAATAAGACATATGTATATATGAAGGGGAGTTTATCAGGAGGATTGACTCACACGATCACAAAGTGAAGTCCCATAAGAGGCTGTCTGCAAGCTGAGGAGCAAAAAAGCCAATCGGTGTCCCAAACCCTCAGGAGCAGGGAAGCTGACACTGCAGACTTCAGTGTGTGGCAAAAGGCCAGAGAGCCCCTAGAAAACCACTGGGGTGAGTCCAAGAATCCAAAAGCTGAAGAACTTGGAGTCCAATGTTCGAGGGTAAGAAGCATTCAGCATGGGAGAAAGATGAGGTCCAGAAGACTCAGCAAGTCTGCTCATTCTACTTTCTTCTGCCTGCGTTATTCTAGCCGTGCTGGCAGCTGATTAGACCCAAAATGAGGATGGGTCTGCCTCTCCCAGTCCAATGACTCAAATGTTAATCTCCTTTTGCAACACCCTCACAGACACACCCGGTAACAATAGTAACAATACTTTGCATGCTTCAATTCAATCAAGCTGACAATCAATATAAACCATCACAAGTCCACTGCTTGTCAAATTGAACCCATACAAAACTTATCATATCATACATAATCTTCAAATAAAGACAACAATGAGGTCATAATTACACCTAATATAATATAGCTATCCTTCATACAGCTGAAATTGCACTAAGCCTTCACCTAAAATCTATTACATAAAGTTAACAACACTGAAATGCTGATATGAAGTCAATAAATCTTATGTCCCATGATAAAGGAAAAATAAAGGAAAAAAATAAACATTTTCTTAGTATAAGTGTATAAAGCACAAACATGTTCTTAACAAAATGAGGAGAAAATACTCATGACAATTACAGTCCTTGTTTTTGTAACTGGTCACATGGTCGTAGCTGGTATTGATAACTACCTTCTTCTACTATCCATTCTGTATTCCCTTTCCTTCAGCAAGCACCTCAGCAGGTGGTGGTTTTTTATCTGGTGGAGTGGCCCAAACATTAATTCCTGAAAGGTCTGGGCCATTTGTAGTCCTGCCTGGATTGGGCTATTGTAGTTTCCCAATGACCTGAATCTACAGGGCATGGTAATGCTAAAAGACTCCCTAATGATCTCCTGTATTGCATGTATACTCTTCCTTACCTCCATTGTGGAGTAGTAGACTGATTTCATCATTATAGTCTGGGTCAGTCACCCCAGCCAACACTGTAACTCCATCCTTAGCCTGTTGACTTAAAGGTAGGAGGAGCACAAAGTAACCAGGTGGTAATTTTAAACTCCAGGTTAATGAAATCATTGTAGTGTCTCCTGGTGGCAACATTCTTTCCTCTGGAATGAAGACCTCTAGGCCAGCAGAATGTAATGTCACAGGAACAGGAGAAAGACTTTTGCTAGTGGATCACTAGAGGTTATGTTGTGTGGTGCCACTTCCACTTCCACCCTTTGAATCCTGGACCCATAAATCCTGGCTATAGGAGCAAGAGTACCATATATTGGATGCTGATTCAGAGCATACACAGCCTTCTGGAGAACTTTGCCACAGCGCTACAAAGTATTATCACCTAGCTGGCATTGTAATTGTGACTTCAAAAGGCCATTCCACTGTTCTATCAATCCAGCTGCTACAGGATGGTAGGGAACATGGTAACACCAGTGAATTCCATGAGTGTGAACCCACTGCCACACTTCTTTAGCCATAAAGTGAGTGCCTTCATTGGAGACAACGTTGTGTGGAATACCATGACACTGAATCAGACATTCTGTGAGTCCATGGATGGTAGTCTTGGCAGAAGCACTGCCAAGGATAGGCAAAGGCATATGCAGAGTAAGTATCTATTCCAGTGAGGACAAACCACTGCCCTTTCCATGATAGAAGAGATCCAAAATAATCAACCTGCCACTAAGTAGGTGGCTGACCACCCTGAGGAAAGGTGCCATATCAAGGGCTCAGTATTGGTGTTTTCTGCTGGCAAATTATATTAGTTTGTTTCCACACAGCTATGAAAAAAATACCCGAGACTGGATAATTTATAAAGAAAAGAGGCTTAATTGACTCACAGTTCCACAGGACTGAGGAAGCCTCAGAAAAGTTACAATCATGGTAGAAGGTGAAACAAACATGTCCTTCTTCACATGGTGCCAGGAAAAAGAAGTGCCGAGCACAGGGGGAAAAGGCCTTTATTAAACCATCAGATCTCATGAGAATTTGCTCACTATCACAAGAACAGCATGAGGGTAACTGCCTCCATGACTCAATTACCTCCCACTTGGTCCCTCCCACAACACGTGGGGTTTATGGGAACTAAAATTCAAGATGAGATTTGAGTGGGGACACAGCCAAACCCATATCATTCCGCCTCTGGCCCCTCCCAAACCTCATGTCCTCATATTTCAAACCACAATCACACCACTCCAACAGTCCCTCAAAGTCTTGACTCATTCCAGCATTAACTCAAAAGTCCAAGGCCAAAGTCTCATCTGAGACAAGTGACTTCCACCCATGAGCCTGTAACATTAGAAGCAAGTTAGTTACTTCCTAGATACTACGTGAGTACAGGCATTGGGTAAATATACACAATCAAAATGGGAGAAATTGGTCAAAACAAAGGGGTTATAGGCTCCATGCAAGTCTGAAATCCAGTAGGGCAGTCATTAAACCTTAAAGCTCCAAAATGATCTCCTTTTACTCCATGTCTCACATCCACGTCAGGCTGATCACCTTTTTTTCAGCATAGGAGCAAAAGGTGGGCTCCCATGGACTTGGGCGCTCCACCCCTGGGGCTTTGCAGGGTAGAGTCCACAGGCTGGACTCTGCTGCATCCACAGGCTGGTGTTGAGTGTTGCAGAATTTTCAGGCACACAGTGTAAGCTGTTGGTGCATCTACTATTCTGGGATCTGGAGGATGGTGGCCCTGTTCTCACAGCTCCATTAGGCAGTGCCCCAGTGGGGATTCTGTATGGAGCTCTAACCACACATTTCACTTTTGCACTGCCCTAGCAGAACTCCATGAGGGCTCTGCCCCAGAGCATACTTCTGCCTGGACATCCAGGCATTTCCATACAACCTGTAAAATCTAGGTGGAGCTTACCAAACCTCAGTTCTTGACTTCTGTGCACCTGCAGGCCAAGTATTATGTGTAAGCCACCAAGGCTTGGGGTTTGTCTTCTCTGAAGCAACAGCCTGAACTCTATGTTGGCCCCTCTTAGACACAGTTGAGAGGCAGGGCAACAAGTCCTGAGGCTGCACAGAACAGCAAGGCCCTGGACCCAGTCCAGGAAACCATTTTTTTTTTTTCTCCTGGACCTCCAGACTTGTGATGGGAGGGGCAGCCATGAAGATCTCTGACATGTCCTGAAGACATTTTTACCATTGTTTTGGCAATTAACATTTTACTCCTCATTATTTATGCAAATTTCTGCAGCCTGTGTGAATTTCTCCTCAGAAAATGGGTTTTTCTTTTCTATTGCATCCTCAGGCAGCAAATTTTCTAGACTTTTAAGCTTTTTTTCCCTTTTAAACATAAGTTCCAATTCCAAACCATATCTTTGTGAATACATAAAACTGAATGTTTTTAAGAGTACCTATGTTACCTCTCAAACACTTTGTTGCTTAGAAATTTCTTCCACCACAGCTGGGCTCAGTGGCTCACACCTGTAATCCCAGCACTTTGGGAGACCAAGGAGGGCAGATCAAGAAGTCAGGAGATCAAGACATTCCTAGCGAACATGGTGAAACCCCATCTCCACTAAAATACAAAAAATTAGCCAGCCATGGTGGTGCAGGCCTGTAGTCCCAGCTACTCGGGAGGATGAGGCAGGGGAATCACTTGAACTCAGGAAGCAGAGGTTGCAGTGAGCAGAGATTGCCCTACTGCACTCTAGCCTGGCGACAGAGCAAGACTCTGTTTCAAAAAACAAAAAAAGAAATTTCTTCCACCAGATACCTTAAATAATTGCTCAAGTTCTCAAGTTCAAAGTTCCACAGATCTTTAAGGGAGGGGCAAAATGTCGCTAGTCTCTTTGCTAAAGCATAGCAAGAATCACCTTTATTTCAATTCCCAACAAGT
Organism: Homo sapiens; assembly: GCF_000001405.40. NCBI lineage: Eukaryota > Metazoa > Chordata > Mammalia > Primates > Hominidae > Homo > Homo sapiens. The sequence continues at coordinate 89,607,794 of NC_000013.11, forward strand.
TCCTCATCTCTGTTGGAGACCGCCTCAGCCTGAACTTCATTGTCCCTATCACTGTCAGAGTTTTGGTTAAAGCCACTCAACAAGTCTCTAGGAAGTTCCAAACTTTCCCACAACTTTCTCTCTTCTTATGAGCCCTCCAAACTGTTCCAACCTCTGCTTGTTACCCAGTTCCAAAATTACTTCTACATTTTGCAGTATCTTTACAGCAGCGCCCCACTTCCCAGTACAAATTTACTGTATTAGTTTGTTTTCATGCTGCTATGAAGAAATACTGGAGACTGGATAATTTATAAAGGAAGGAAGTTTAATTGACTCACACCTCTGCGAGGCTGAGGAAGCCTCAATCATGGCACAAGGGAAAGCAAACATGTCCATCTTCACATGGCTACAAGAAGGAAAAGTGCCAAGCAAAGGGAGAAAAGCCCCTTATAAAACCATCAGATCTCATGAGAACTAACTCACTATCACAAAAACAGCAAGAGGGTAATGGCCTCCCTGATTCAATTACCTTCCACCAGGTCCCTCCCACAACATGTGGGGATTATGGGAACTACAGTTCAAGATGAGATTTGGGTGGGGAAACAGTTAAATTGTATCATATGTCCATACCCTTTTTAGAATATTTTAACAAAAAAAAAATCACAGATTCATGTGGGACTCCATGGCAAATGTTTCTGGGGCACTATTTTCCAACTTGTTGCAAGTACCTATACAGATACTTTTTCTGTTATTCATTTTTTTCTCTAGGACAAAACAAAGTGAAACTCAGTAAGATTAAGGTCATTGTGGGTGCTGAATTTCACTTTAAATCAATACTGTATTTCATTAGGTGGTGGTGTTCTGAGGCTGATGTAATCCCTTACTTTCTTTGATTCCTGATCTATCTCCTGTCACCCTGCTGATGATGCTAGTGATATTTTTGGATAGGAAAAATGTTTTGGTTAGGAGAATATTACTCTCTGGCAGAGCAGTAGACAAATGAAGGAGGCCTTTCTTCATGAGAATATGCACAGTAACTGTGAAAGCTGTTGCAAATATACATATAATCAGGCAAGAAAATTTCCCCCATCTGAATATGTGCTGATAAAACAGGTGAGCTTAAATATTTGCCCCACCTTTGTTGCCAGATATGAAAGAAACAAAAGGTGATCTGAGCCAACCTAAACCTCCTAGGGTAAATTTGTAAATGAATGAAATGTACAATCAATTTCTATCTTCTCTATTTATGATAGCATTTTGATTTTGATGGGGAAGCCTATGTCCCTAAATTCACTATATTAAATATATTCTGTTTCAAAAATACAGAAATTTCCTTCACCCTAGGGCAATTTCATAAATGCAGATGTTTAAAATAATACAAATTTGCTTCAGCTATTGTTTTATAGGCAAGTCTTTTTTAGAATGAAATCACTTTTGTAGGTCAGTATAACTAAATGTTTCAAATCTGAGACAGTAAGAAAATAAGAAATTAGAACTTCTAGTTATCCACAGTGTCACATATACTCCCAAACATAAAAGAGAAATAAATATTCCCTAGATAATCTTGTAATATTTAATATAATAAGAAATGATTTTATTATATTTGTATTTTATATTCTGAGCAAAATATTGTGGTTTATGGCCAGTAACTGTCCTTTGAAAGGTGTCATTGTCAGAGCAAATTAATTCATGGCTCACACTATGCAATGTCAGCATCTATTGTTATCCTTTTTACTTCTTCCCTGTCATTCAGATTAATAACATAAGTGGTGCTATATGCTTACAGCTTTCTTCCCCTTGTCATTTGACTCAGAATCTCCTTTGTACAAGTAATTTTTCTTCAGAAAATTTAAACGTACTGCAATATATCTATGTTTAGTTGAAAGTGCTATATGATCATTTGTCTTCTGACTACTCTTTTTTTTTGTTTTGTTTTGTTTGTTTTTTTTTTATTTATTATTATACTTTAAGTTTTAGGGTACATGTGCACATTGTGCAGGTTAGTTACATATGTATACATGTGCCATGCTGGTGTGCTGCACCCACTAACTCGTCATCTAGCATTAGGTATATCTCGACTACTCTTATTAAAACGAATTTAATAGACTTTTTCATGTTGTAGATTTTTATTTCCTAAACACTTTGTTGCAGTATGAATTTGAGGTTTTACATCCATTTTGGGCCACAGTCTGAGGCAAAAATTATTGTAACATTGTTTATGACTTTTAAAATTAGCTTTTTTATTAAAAATATTAAATCACTAACATACACAATATGTTTGCTTTTCTTAAGTCTCATATATATGAAATTCTTGCTAACTCTTTATGAAAATCATCCACACAGTATGAATGTATGTGTAAAACAGTGGAAGTGGCAAATTATTCTATATTAAATCATAAGTAACATTAAATATACGTAAAGTTTAACTGTGTAGGTGTTAGGTTAAAAAGAAAGTGCTTGTTTCACTGAACAATGAAAAGCCAGAAACACTATAGCCATTTTCACTCATAATAAACAGGTAGCTGGCAAAGCAATATATAATTTATAGATGACTTAAACAGGCTAGACTTGCATTCTGAAGATGCTGATGCAAGTTTTAATGCAGGAAACAAAAACTACTATAGCTTTTCAAACAGATTATAATTGTTGCAAGATTTAGGTTTGAAGCCAGCGTTCTCTCACTAGGTTTCAAGTTCATGACAATGCAGCAATTGCTGCAATCTGGAAGTGAACAAGCAGCTGTTGAAACCCCTCATGACACTGCAGGAAACCTTTCCTAATTTCACAGATGCCCTACACCAGTAAAGCTGGTTCTTACACATTGAAACATAGAGCCTATCTGTCGCACAAGAGAACACCAGACATGCAGCCTGGGAAAAACAGCATTTGCCTCCCTTTGCCTTTCCACCTTGGGCTTATTTCTTTGAACAACCTAAATAACATCCCAAACCTTAGTGGAAAGAGAATCTGCAAATGTAGATTTTAGCCCTTCAGTCCTTGCAGTAGGGTGAGACTAGGATAATATCAGGGGGTGGGGGTGAAGACTGAGTGTCAATAGACAATAACTAGTGTAGAAAGTATCACTGACACACAAACTGTTACATGAGGTGTTGGGAATGTCCACTCTCCAGGCCTAGGACTGAGATAGATGTACTCTTTAGTATTAGATTGTATTATTTTTCACAATTACCTTCTTTCTCTTTATGAGAACTCTAATCCTTCAAAGAGGGAAGTAAAATTTTAAACACCTAAATCATTTCATCAGGATCCTGGAGGAAGGGAGATAAGACATTTAGTCTCTATGACTCAGTATTGTTTGCCAATGAGCCTAAATAATTCTGTTTTCTCCAAATGCGAAAGATGCTAAAGACATGTGGGTCACTCCTAAATCCTCCTCTGTGACAACTGGGTGTGACAGGCTGACCTCTAGGTGTTCATTTCTAATCTCTTGCATAATCTCCTGCCTTTGAGTGGGAGCAGAACATGTGACTTGCTTCTAACCAACAAAATATGGCAGAGGTGATGGGATGTCACTCCTATGATTCTGCTGTGTTATATAGAACTCAGTTTTGCTAGCCAACTTGCTGCAGCCTCTTCCTCCCTCCCACTGCCCCTCTCTCTCTCTTTATTGCTGACTTTGAGAAATAGAACTGCCATGAATCCTTCAGCTGTAAGAAAATGAATTGTGCTAATAACCTGATTGAGTTGGAATTGTACCCTGTGTCAGTCAAGCCCTCAGATGAGAACACGGTCTGAACTGACATCTTGATTGTGACTTTGCAGAGGACCATATTCAGATTGGTAACCCACAAGTACTGTGAGTTAATAAATGTGTGAAGTTTATAAGATCCTAAGTTTGTGGTGATTTGTTGTTCAGCAATAGAAAATTAATACATGGGGATACAAAGAATTGCAAATATGCTAGAAAAAGAACAATTTCAGAAGAGAAAATATTCAGGAGAGCCTGTTGTTACCAGGGGTCCTTGCTCCCAGAGCTCTCAAGATGGTGGCGGGCCACTTCCAAAATGGCGGGTGGCTTCCAAGATGGTGGCAAGACTCACGTTCTCTGACCTGGGGTTCTTGGCCTCACAGATCCCAAGTATTAGAATCTGGGGCCATGCTGTGAGTGTTATAGCTCTATTAGAAGCTGTGGGTCACAGAAGAGAAACGGGAACCCAGTGATTAGTGTTCAGCTCAATTAGGACGAACCTGGGCACTTAGCCATGCAGGAACAATGGCAAGCCTTTAGCCCTATCAGAAGTGGCAATGGGTGCGTCACTGGATCAGAAGCACAGCAGACACCCTGCCGGATCCAGAGGGATGGAAGTTAGCAGTGGGTCTACAACGGCGGCAAACGGCAGTGGTGGACGGCGAGCGAAAGCTCAGCTCGAGCCGTAACAAACACAGACCAGAAGATAGTTCAGTTGCAAGATTTAATAGAGTGAAAACAGAGCTCCCATACAAAGGGAGGGGACCCAAAAAGGGAGCTCCCACACAAAGAGAGGGGACACAAAAAGGGTAGCCATTGCCGGCTAGAATGCCTGGGTTTATATCCTGATCATTTTCCCTCTGCTGTGCTCTCAGGCGATAGATGATTGGCTATTTCTTTACCTCCTGTTTTTGCCTAATTAGCATTTTAGTGAGCTCTCTTTACTACCTGATTGGTCAGGTGTGAGCTAAGTTGCAAGCCCCGTGTTTAAAGGTGGATGTGGTCACCTTCCCAGCTAGGTTTAGGGATTCTTAGTTGGCCTAGGAAATCCAGGTAGTCCTATCTCTCACTGTCATCTTAGAACAGTAAGTAAGTGATTAAGTAAATTATTAAATAGTATCCAAGTTTGTGACATTTGGATTGCACACCCCCTACCTTCTCCTTATTTTCCCTTCTCAGGGCAAGATAGGAGTCAGACAGTTTGATAGCAGTGAAAAGAATAATAGCATGTTTTTTACCCTTAAAGGATAAATATACAATCATTTTTGAGAGTACAGATCTAAGTGTGAATATTATCACAAAATATTAGTTTATTGTTATTGACCTCATAATTATTTTCCTTGTATATTTCAAGTTAATTTACTGTCTAGTCTAATGAAGGATTTAATTTGTGATTATAGAAAGTAAGTAAAATTAAATGACAGTGTTATGAAAAATCTGTGTTATAAAAGGTACAAATGCATCAGAAAATATTTGTGGCCTGTGGTCCCAGGTCCTTGGAGGCTAAGGGAGGAGCATCGCTTGAGCCTAGCAGGCTGAAGCTATAATGAACCAGGACTGCACCACTGCACTCCAGCCTAGGTGACAGAGTGAGACCCTGTCTTAAAAAAAAGAAGAAAAAGAAAATATTTGCAGTTATTAAACATAATACCTACCCTGTATTGAAACTATATTAAACCTATTTTAATAACTTAAATCCCAAAACAGTAAAAATGATAGAAATATCCCTATTTAAAAGTTAAAGAAACAGAGATTAAGGAAAGTTAAGTGGTGTGTCTAATGTTCAAAAACTAGTAATTGGTAGTGTTTTATTATGTCCTGAAGCTGATTATCTACACTACTGACTCTCTATTTAGGTATTACATACTCAATTATTTCTCTTGAACATCTCACAGTTCTGAATATTTCTAAAGTTTGAAAGAATCATGGATAAGAAACAAGTAGTTTATGATGTAATTCATAACTAAAACATATTTATCCTGTGTTAAAGCAAATATACCTTAAAATATGACACACTAATAATAATTAAGAAGCTAAATGACACCATTTATTCTTAATTATATTACTTTATATATATATATATATTCAGCAATCTGACCAATGTAGTACTTTGCTCTGATACTGTTATTTTGTAATATTTCACTTTTTTCACTGTATCATGATATGGTCTTTCCCACAGATATGAAAATCAGGTTTTCATTTTCTACAACATAAAAGTTAATTTATTCAATAATCTTAATCGATTCTTACATGGTGTTTTCAAAAATGCAGTTGCATTGAGGGAAAAAACCCTTTTGGACTAAATATAACATTTCTTGTTGTTGTTGTTGTTGTTGAATTATGTATTTAATTGATTTATCTCCAGGCTTCTGCAAGCCTTAATTTTGCCTCAAGAAGGATGACTTATTGTGAGGACTAATTTTTCAAACTTATTTCACTAAGGTTGCCTTTACTACACAACACTTATTATTACACAGAGCTAGAGTTCAACAAAATACTTCTGGTGAATCTTTTGTCTAGATATAGTATATAACAATTTCTTCTTTCCAGTATTTCTAAAAAATCTTAAAGATTTAAAAATTGTATTGTATCCTATTTGCATAATTCAATACAGAAACACAGAAAACAAATTGTTTTACTACCATGTGAATTGAAACTACATAAAAACTGTATACATTTTTCTTAGGTGGCATTTAAGGTCATTTATGTAGTTAAGGCAACAGATATGTTGTACATGGGTGAAAAGTTCTGAATATTGATGATTAAAATACGCATATTATTTTACAAATTATACATATGTTGAAAATTAATCTAAATTTCCTACAATGATATCCCTATAGTTAAGAGAGCTGCAAATGAAAAATAGATACTTCACCTATAAAATATAGAACACTTTTGTTTTTGTGTAAAGTATGCCTAAATAATATGATTCAGATCAGACTCTATGCAAATATTTTTGTTTATTTGCTTGTTTTTGGGACAGGGTTTCACTGTCTCCCAGGCTGGAGTGCAGTGGCACCATTACTACAGCTTACTACAGCCTTGACGTCCTGGGTTCAGGTGATCGTCCTACCTCCGCCTCCAGAGTAACCAGTAGCTGGGATCACAGGCATGCCCCACCATGCCCAGCTAATGTTTGTATTTTTTATACAGACAGGGTTTTCTCATATTGCCTAAGCTGGTCTTGAGCTTCTACCTCAGACATTCTGCCAGCCTCTGCTTCCCAAAATGCGGGTATTACAGTGGTGAGCCATTGTGCCTGCCCTATACAGGTATTTGATATAACATTTCATCATGTTTTTATTTGCTTAATTAAATCATCTTATACCTTTTCTGAGTTTTAATATACTTGAGATTTCCCCTTTCTTGATTCTTTAATCCCCTATTTAAATCTTGTTTTTAAACAGGATTTAAAGAATTAAATATACATTGCAATATGGTCAATTGGAATTGAATATTACACCATCTGATTTCTTTTGGAAAGAAAAGGACTAAATATTTAGAAAAAAAATCTAAAGAAAAACATATAAAAGAACTGGAAGTGTAGTGAGTGACCATTATACATACTTTTGTAACGTCAGATTAACTTTATAACTCTAATTATGCCAAGTCAATGCAAAAATTGAAACACATATAATTTTTTAAAATTCTATGTATGATTTGTATCTTAGGTTTTATAATGTACTGATCACCGTGAATTATTTTTAACACCAGTCAGAAGTTGATCTCTACACAGGCCATTGATAATTTTTATTTAATTGCATTTAAATTGAAGTAATTTATCAATAACAGAATCTCCCTTTCAGTGGAACTGAGGAATCAACAGGAGGTTTTGTTTTGAATAATTAAATATATAAATTTTGTATAAAGTTTGTAGCTCCAGATTGGCATTGTAGGGAGAGCAGGCTATAAAGGGTGAGTTGTGCCATCTTTTTACTAGATGGCACATCTAGTTAGCATTATTTACTAGATTTTGGCCATAACTGTCTCCTAGTAAAGACTAAAGGGGTAGGCTTTCAATACACAAAGATATTATTGAGTGAAAATTTTAAGGCACCATAATAGCTAGAAGATATGGTATTGGTTAGGAAAACCTGCTGAATTCCATTGAGGTTGGCTCTTCCATTTTATATTAAATATTGGTCTCAGTGAGAATATTTTAACATCCTTCTGCAGTTGAAGATAACTTTATTTAAATTTGAGGCTCCTCTTTAATTAACCAGAAGAAAAATCAGTTAAAATTCAATGAACATATAGTAATTCTCTCTTTAGTGAGTAGCTATTATTTTGATAAATACTATAATAATTCTTATTATAATACGTGAATGTATATTTCACCATATATAATGTAAGAATATCTCCAGGTAAATCAATACATTAGTGATTTTCTGACATGACTTCTTCTTTGGCCCATTAATTTAAATGGTTAAGACTAATTTTGGTTCCAAATGATGTACTGAGTGGCAGTTTAAATTATTACACCAATCAATTATTTGTATTATGTCAGTTATGATTTCTGTTGCATATTTCATTCTTCCTTATATAAACTTCATTCTTCATTATTCCTTATATAAAAGATGCAACAGAAATCAAATATAATTAAGAATAATTGGTATCATTTAGGTTCTTTATTATTAGTCTGTCATATATTTTTAAGTATATTTGCTTTAACACAGGCTAATATTTTTTAGTTTCTTTTAGATATAAATTACATCATAAAGCATGTTTTCTTATTCATCATTCTTTCAAATTTCAGAAATAATCAGAACTGCAGGATGCTCAAGAGAAATAATTGAGTACATAGTATCTAAACAGAGAGGCAGGTTCTGTAGTATAGATAATCAGCGTCAGGACTTAATAAAACACTACCAATTACTAGTTTTTAAATGTTAGACAAAACACTTAACTTTTCTTAATCTTGTTTTCTTTAATTTTTTAAGTAAGGATATTTCTATCATTTTTACTGTTTTGGGATTTTTATTAAAATAGGCTTTGTATAGTTTCGACACAGGGTAGGTATTATGTTTAATAACAAATATTTTCTTTTTCTTTTCTCCTTTTTTTTTTTTTTTTGAGGTGTTTATTACCAAAGGCAGGCAAGTCCCTCACTGGAGCTTAAGGACAAGTCATGGTGGATTTCCACTGGGCTTCATTCACTCTGAACCTGTGGATTGCAGGTATTAGACTGGCTGGTAGCTTTTGAAAAAGATTGCTTAAAAAATCTCTGTATAACCACAGACAAGCTCTGTCTTGGAAATTTTTATTAAGACATAATGCAAAATTCTACTAAACCGTAACGGGTTATTAGGCCAGAGTAGCCAAACCAATTGAGAGGATGCACAAAATCATAAATGACCAGTAATTTCTAGAAGTGTCTTCTAGGGTGCCCTGCATTCAGGTACAATCTCAGAAGCCCAGTGGAAAACCACAGCCCCTTGTCCTCGAGCTCCAGTGAGGGGCTTCTCTGCTTTTAGTAGTAAACGCCTCTTCTTCTTTTTAATGTAGATATCATTACCCTTACAAAATAAGATAATCAAAATCCACTACAAAACAGCATTTTCAAATCTCACCATACCGAATTACTGTGTGTGTGAATCTTGTCAACAATCCATGCTCTGGTGTTCTACCTGACTACCAAACAGAATGTGATAATAACTTAAAATTTTTTGTTGTTGTTGTTTTACTGTTTAACTTTTATTTTAAGTTCTGGGGTACATGTGCAGGATTTGCAGATTTGTTACATAGGTAAAGGTGTGCCATAGTGGTTTGCTGCACAGATCAACCCATCAGGTAGGTATTAAGCACAGCATCCATCAGCCATTTTTCCTGATGCTCTCCTTACCCCTACTGTCCCCAAAAGGCCCAAGTGTGTACTGTTCCCCCCGTATCCCGTATGTGTCCATGTGTTCTCATTGTTCAGCTCCCACTTATAAGTTAGAACATGCAGTGTTTGTTTTTTTGTTCCTGTGTTAGTTTGCTGAGGATAAGAACTTCAAGCTCCATCCATGTCCCTGCAGAGGACATGATCTCATTCCTTTTTGTGGCTGCATAGTATTCCATGATGCATATGTACCACATTTTCTTTATCCAGTCTATTTTTTGGTGGGCATTTGGATTGATTCCATGTCTTTGCTCTTGTTAATAGTGCTGAAGTGAACATACATGTGCATGTATCTTTATAAGGGAATGATTTACATTCCTTTGGGTATATACCCCATAATGGGATTGTTGGGTCAATGGTATTTCTGGTTCTAGATTTTTGAGGAATCACCACACTGCCTTCCAAAATGTTTGAACTAATTTACACTCACACCAACAGTGTATAAGCATTCCTTTTTCTCTGCAACCTCACTAGCATCTGTTGTTTCTTGACTTTTTAATAATTGCCATTCTGACTGGTGCAAGATGGTGCCTCATTGTGGTTTTGATTTGCATTTCTCTAATGATTAGAGATGTTGAGGTTTTTTCATATTTTTGTTGGCTGCATTAATGTCTTCTTTTCAGAATTGTCTGTTCATGTCCTTTGCCTACTTTTCAATGGGGTTGTTTATTTTTTTCTTGTAAATTTGCTTAAGTTCCTTGTAGAAGCTGGATAGTACATCTTTGTCAGATGGATAGGTTGCAAACATTTTCTCCCATTCTGTGGATTGTCTGTTCACTCTGATGATAGTTTCTTTTTGCTACAAAGATAATAAAATACCTGGGAATACAGCTAACAAGGGATGTGAAGGACCTCTTCAAAGAGAACTACAAACCACTCCTCAAGGAAATCAGAGCGGACACAAAAATTCGTATCTCATATTTGCTTGAAAACTAAAATACATGGAAGATATATTGAGCAAAAATCTTCAGAATTGTACAGTAAACCCCAAGTACCACAAGACCTGTTTATGTGACAAAGATTAACAGAAGTCTAATGTGGTTTACTTTGAAATGGTGCTTTGTCAGGTATACCTATCTATTAGTTCTAAGTACAGCAATGCCAAACAATAGGTATTTTGGTTGCTGTATTGCTGCAAAAGTAAAAACATTGAAATAACATTCCGAGGAAATGTTTTTATCACTCCCAAAAGCTACGACAAAAGTGTGAGACTAAAAGTAATTTTTCATGATATTTCTGTCAATTTATCTGTTTAAAGAGGAGAGATAAATCACTTTATTGTCTATTAATTCGCTAATTTCAGTTTACTCTACTACTCATAGCCATTATAATTTACCATTCTGGTGAAGCTGATTAGGTTAGGTGGCTCAAAGCCAGCAAGCTCTAGGAGTCCCAGTGTCTTCTCATCTGAATTTGATTCCTTGGAAGTTAAGTAGTGAGTCCTGATGTACATACTCCCTAATGATGCATTCAGAAAATGGTACTTCCCAGAATGAACCAATCTCTGGCACTGCCTTTTGAAATTTAATTCGGTTAACTGTTCTGTGTAATAGTTAAGAATTAGACCCGTATAACACTGAACACTTATTTGACAATTGGAACAGTAATTTTTCAGAAGCCTAACAATTCAATCTCATGAAGCTGCTCTTCAGGATCTGCATATATTGCAATTTAGGTTTTTCTCCATAGCTCTATCACTTTCTAGCAAACTAGATATGTTCATTTTAATCGGGTTTGTTTGTCTGTTTCCTTTCAATAGTACATAACATTCTTAAGGCAAATTGTTGTGTGGTGATCCCTACTGTGTCCTACCACCTAGAACAGTGTCTGAAACATAAGAGACATTGAATAAAGTATTCTTAAATCAATGAGTAATGCTCTTTCTCATTATGATTATTGAAATGATTGTTAGATTAACTTTATTTCTGTATGTGCTTCCTATTAGCAAAACCCTCCAAAATGATTAACCATGTAATCCAAAGCAACAATTATCTTTTGAAAACAAAAATGACAAGTTTCCCCATTAATATAAAAGTTAATGTCAGGTATGAGTTATGATTTTTGAACTCTTTATGGGTATAATAAATGTCCATATTATTTTCTTACTTTTATTTGAGTTTTGGGTAGACTAAAATATATTAATTACAATATACAACAGCAAGTGTTTATGAATCCTAAATATTTATGAGCCTTTCTTTTAGGTACCAGATGTACAGTAAGGATAAGAAAATTTCCTGTTTTTCCAGAGTTCACGTTTTATTGAGAGAGATGTATGTACAATAACAAATTAAAGCACACAAAAAAGTCAACATTAAAAGAAATGACACATTAAGCAGTGTAAATGGATAAACAGTGAGGAACCACTTTTTTTTTTTACATGGGTTGTTCAAGATAGGCTTTTTGAAGAAGTCACATGTAGGCAGAAACCAGAGTAAAATAAGAGTGTTATGTTTGTGAATATTTGGTAGAAATGCCTTCTCAGAACAGGGATCAACACATGTAGAGTTTCTAAGAGAAGAACAAACTAGAGAAGTTGAGAACATAAATAAATTTATTTTGGTTATAACTGAGTAGGAAAAATAAATTTGGAAAATTACCTATGAGATTAGTAAGGCTGATACGCATTATTTCTGATTTTAATTTTATTTTGAATATTGCAAGAAGTTAATACACAGTTTAACTAAAGAGATAAAATTAGATTTATTGATTGTTGTTAGATGTATAGATTTTAGGAGACAAAGACTAGCAAAAAAGCTTGTGCAGTAGTTTGGCAGAACACTGGAACTTGCTAGTTTGGTTTATGTATGATTGTGATGGAGGTGATAAGTCATTTGATTTGAGATAGATTTTGAAGCTAGACTTGAAAGAAGTTACAAATAAATTGGATATGAATATGATAAAAATAAAGAAATAGTGAGAATCCCCAAGGTTTTTAATCTAAGCAATTCAGTGAATAGTGTCAAAAACTAAGAAAAAGAATGATTTAAAAATGAACATTTGGCCAGGCGTGATGACTCATGCTTGTAATCCCAGCAATTTGGGAGGCCGAGGCAGGTGGATCAGGAGGTCAGGTGATCGAGACCATCCTGGCCAAGATGGTGAAACCCTGTCTCTACTAAAAATACAAAAAAATAACAAATAAAAAATTAACCGGGTGTAGTCGCGCACGCCTGTAGTCCCAGCTACTTCGGAGGCTGAGGCAGGAGAATCGCTTGAATCCGGGAGGCAGAGGTTGCAGTGAGCTGAGATCGCTCCACTGCACTCCAGCCTGATGACAGAGTGAGACTCCACCTCAAAAGAAAAAAAAAAAGGAATATTTGGATGACAGGCAGTGTGTATGTGGAGTGGATGAAAATCTAAGCATTCTCTTTAGACGTATTTAATTTGAAAAACTTTTAAAATTTCCAAGTGGAGATGTCACGTATTCAGGTGAAGATTAAAATCTGGGAGTCACTAGACTAGAGACACTATTGAAACCATGTAAGTAAACAATATTATCTAGGAAGTGAGTAGAAATAGAAAAGACAAGAAGTTCCAAAGAGTACGTCTTTAGCAAAATGTATACTCTGGTTTTACTGCTGAAACACAACCTGGTTACACAGACTTTGTTGTTATAATCATTACATAACTTCCATGTTTTTATTAATGTAATCTTTAAACATTTTCACAAACACCTATGAGATATTTTCAGATAAAGAAAATATTTTTTGTGTTTGTGCTTTTCTTTGTTAAATTATATAGTTGGATGATAATCTAAAATTCCAGTTAGAATTTATATGGTTTTTCAGTATTAAAGTTTCCTTTCTCTTCTTTCCTCTCCATCCTTCCCATTCTTCCTTGTGTTTCTTCCTTCCTCCCTCCTTTTATTCCCTTTCCTTCCCTTTCTTTTTCATTCTCTACTTCTGTCTCAGTTGCTTTCTTTTTAACAAGATTGAGTGAATTTACATTTAATTACATTATATTACATTAATATTAATGTAATATAATATTAATATTAATATTACATCAATCACATATCACATTAAAATTAATTAATTAATATATAATATTAATGAGTTATAATCTCTTTAACATTGTTGCTAAGCTGCAATAACACTAAAACCTTCTTTAATTTTTCCAAGTTTTTACCAAAACTTGGTAAAAAACCAAGTTAATTTTTCTAATCAAATGGCTATGGCCAATAACTTTCTGCATAAAAAAAGGCCCAGAACTTGAAAATTGAGTAATTTAGTTCACTACCATGTCAATCATATTTAAGTAACATATTGTCAATCCTTACAAAATTTTTATTAGGAATGAATGTTACTGCTTATTTGTTGATCATTTGAGTATGTCATATGTAATATTTTGAAATTCTTGTATATCATTCCTAGAATCAAAATTTAATTTTTAAGCAACCCAATATGTATCAATTTAGTCAAAACCATCTATCCTTAAGGAAAGTAAATGTCTTATAAGAAGAATGAACAGATATTTTTTAAAGAAGTGTTAATTTGTGAGAAAATCTTCATCTGTTTTAAGTAGATTGAACTTCATTATACCTTAACAGCATTCAGTATAATTTATCAAATTTCTATTTTGTCATGGCCAACCCATATTTGTACTTAAACAACCAAGTTCATCTTCCAATATGCCATAAAAACTACAGTAGAGACATATGCCAAATATTTAAATCAACCAAGTGCACACATTTAGCACATTTCTATTTTATCTAGCTAAGCTTTCTAGCACCCATTATTAGAAACAAGTGCCTATATGTTATGTGTGCTTAATTCATTTTTTTGGATATTATATTAGTTGCACAGAAACTGCTGTGTTAAGATAAACTTTGGACATCTTGACATAAAATGTTCTACCTGATTTTTGTATAACCTTTCATGCCTACAGAGATTTACATTTATTATTATTGTACAATACCTGCAGATTACCTTTGAATATCTAACAATGACATGTGCTTTTTGATACATTACAGATGTGAGATTTAATAGTCTTGGGAAACTTAAATTGTATTAAACTTTTATTAACTAAGTATTTTCGCTATGTAATTGAATAACTCAAAGATCTGACAGCTAACATGACAAATAACAAAGATTAAATCTTCATATTAAGTTAAAAGTAACTTGCTTATTTTGAATGAAAAAAGTAAGTAAAAATAAACTTTCAGTAAACATTATTCAATATTTGTTGTTTGAAATTATATTTACTTATAGCACTCATGACCCAAATAATCCTTTGTAAATATTACTTATAAGTAGTTGTCTTCTTTGAAAGTAGTTTTGTAGTATAAATTCTGATGCGCCACGTGTTAGGCCATTCTTGATTGCTGTCAAGAAATATCTGAGTGTGAGTAATTTATAAAGAAAAGAGATTGAATTGGCTCATCATTCTACAGGCTGTACAGGAAACATGGTGCTGGCATCTGCTTGGCTTCTGGGAAGACCTCAGGTAGCTCTTACTTATGGTTAAAGGTGAAGTGGGAGCAGGCACATCACATGGCACATGGCCAGAGTGGGAGCAAGAGGGAAAGTAGGGGGAGGTGCAATGCACTTTTAAACAACCAGATCTTGAGAGAACTCACTCATTCAGGACAGCACCAGGACATAAGGGATCCTCCACATGATCCAATCACCCCCCACCCAGCCCAACCTCCAGCATTGGGGATTACATTTCAACATGAGATTTAGAGGGGACACATATCCTAACTATACCATATCATAAGAAAAACAAATTCATTTCTATTTTATATCAAGACATTTTTACTTATTCATGAGCAAATACTATTGTTATATTTTAATGCAACTTGTATTATCATATTTTAAGACTTCCGATTTTTTAATTGACTTTTAAATAAAGTCACATGCTGCCTTATTATATTCATTGCATTCTCTCAGTGCATTTTATATGACTTAAATTCTAAGTTATATATAGGAGCCAATAAAAGCCTTTGCAAAAGCTTAATGTGTTCAATTGGCTGATTAATTTTTGAAGTTTTATATTAAGATGCAATTTTACCACAAGATAGCAGACTTACTTATGAATTACTAAGTGCCTTTTAGAAATGAGTTTTGTTTTTTTTTTTTTGGTACTCAGTTTGAGCCAGGAATTACATATACCCATGCATATTGAGCACATATAAAATGAAATAATAACATTCATACTACTACTGTAACACTTTTTAATGGATTGAGTTCCTTTAATAAGAGATGAGCACTTCCCTTACTTTTTCCCATTACCCTTTTAATTTTCATATTTTCTTTTTCTTTTGTTTTTAATCTCTTAGCATTTATTCATTAACCAGTATTAACACAGGCATTGATGTCAGTCATATCTGAGCTTCCATGTTTTCTCCACCAGCATTTACCTGTGTAACTTGGAAAAGTAATGTTGTCCCTATGCAATAAAAAATTATTTAAAATAGAAATAATTATAGATTCTAACTCAAGTGGCTAGGAGGAATATTGTAAAAATGGATAGAAAATATGTTTTACACACATATATAGCATTAATGTATTAATATATATTGAATACATTATGTATTAAAATTAATGTAAGAAAGCATCATCTTGTGTGTGATAAATAGGTCTTTCATACAACTTAGCAAATATTGATGATAGTGTTGAGGTGGGTAATCATTTTACAGACTCTTCCATGAGACAATAACTTGACATATACTACCCAATTCCATCTTAATGTCACTCTTTAAAGGTATTTCTTATGACTATTTCATAGAAGAAGCTTAGAGCAGTAAATTGACATCCTGATGTCACATAGCTACAACATAATAAGCTAAGTTTTAAATCTATACTGTATTAAAAATACCATGCTATTTCCAAATGGTGAGGTATTTTCCATTAATTTAAATTAAATATCAGTATTATAAAGAAGAAAAACATTACACACACACACATATTCACATGCATATAGGATATCAGATGTGATGGGGTACTCACATTCCTCATTTAAGTGTTATGGAATAACAAAAAGACAGTTAATGCTAATACATATGTAGTTTCTGCATTCTCTAAAGCATAATCTTATTGTTGTCATGGGGAGGAGCAGATAGCTCTTGCTATACTGGGATGATTTGATAGTCATGGGAGCAGTGCCTTCAAAAGAAACTATTTTTTACTTGTGCTTTGGCATTGGAGGCAAACTCATGGAAGGGAGATCCACACATAGGGCACAATACTTTCTAAATGGGATAGTGTACATTTAAGCAGGAAGGGAATTGGGGTTGAGAAAATTGGAAGGATCAAACCAGAGACAGTGTGGTCTCTGGCAGACAAGCACAAACTGGTATCTCATGTCAGTGATGGGCAGCCAGGACTATTTTAAAATCAGAAATCCAAAAGACATTTGGAATTGAGGAAAGTCTCTCAGATATTAACAGGGATTTTACTACATGGTGGAGAACATAGTATTTTTGAAGGAGAATAGCAAGAATTATGGAGGTACTGAAAATAAATCACTGGAGCAATTTATTGGTATGGAGAATGAACACAAAAAAGGTCAATGAGACCTCAATGACACCAGCAGAATGGGAGCATAAGATTGACACGAAAGTTGAGTAGATACAGTGTTAGTTAAAAGTCCTTGATTTATGCTTTCTTGAGCTAATGTTTGGCCTGGAATCTGGGCCAGACAGATGCTGTCTATAGCCGGCCTCATTCTTCAATGAGAAAAATAAAATGGTCCCATTATTTTTCCATACACAAGCTATAAGTACTAAGCCTCAGACAGGTTACTTATCAAAAATAATTCCATCACCAATTCTTACCCCAGTAATCTGTGAGAGTTTTTAAAGCTCTGGCCTCTTATGTGTTCAGGAAGAAAAATCTTTCAGGCTGTTCTGGAGTTTTCCCATTTTCCCCGCATTTGATATTTTTGTTGTCAGCCAACAATAGCCTTAGTCACAGCAAATTCTCTCTGCCATTTCTATTCTCCCATCTGAACCTAGAGGAGCACTCCGTTCTCTTCTGCAGTCCTCAATACAATCATGAATTCTCTCCTAATTCTCCAAAGCACAAGCTGATCTGTGGATATAACTTTTAATGAGTATATTCTTATAGTCCAATGAAGAATATAATGAAGAGTGTTCATTCCCCACCTCTTGCATGCATAAGAATCCTCTGGAGAGCTTATTATAACAAAGATTCCTAGAACCCACTATTAACAATTTTGATTTGATAGGGCTGGGTTGACTCCCAACATATTACATTTCTAATAAGCTCCCAGATGATGCTTCTAGTCCACAGACTTTCCTCGGTGTAGTAAGGATAGAGAAAACCACAGCCCAAGCTAAGTGTCTTTTATAAGACTATCTTGTTCTCTCACTTCAATCTACCCTTAAACTGGACAGGACCTGATGAGATCCCACTTCTAAAAAAACAATTTTCTCTCTTATTGATAATGCTAGAAAAAAACAGAGAAATATTTTGTCCTGAGAGTTCTCTTTCTACTTCATGCAAAGACTCTAACCCCAATGCTTCATGTATTGCCCCAAGATTATCATTTTCTAAAGATTAATTCTAATAGACTGTTTAATTTCCTTCAGGGAAACTCCTTTCTCTAAAGGATGCGATCTATTACTGTAGTTGAGTAAGACAGACACAGATATTTTTGTCATTGATATAATTTTATTTCATTTATTTGAGTAAATACTTGTATAAGACTTACCATGTGCTTTTATGCATTATAAAAAGATTAATTCATCGAATCTTCATAAATGCCTTACAAAGTAGATAATGCTATTAACCTTATTTTCAAATGTGGAAGATAAAATACAAAAGAGAGATTATAACTCCCAACCTCACATAATAAATAAAAAATAATGTGGTCTGGTTCTAGATCCCATACCCTTAGCCACCACCTTATATTCTCTTTCCATTTTGCACTGCAGCCACTCAAAATCTGTATTATTTTTTCCAAGCTTATGTTATTGTGTTAGAAGGTAAGTGGAAAATTCATGTAGAATTTAGAATGGCAATGACATGAGAATCAGAGGACAAACTGGCAAAACAAGAGGCAAGGCAGCAATTGGAAGTTGTATCTCTGGCAATATTAATACTGAGCTTTTCTTTGAAGGGGTCATTGTGACACAAGGTATAAAAAGAAAGATGGATCTCAGCTTCAGCCACATGAATGTATGTAAGTAAGGCCAGAGAATGAAGTGTAAACTGCTTCTAGAAATGTAGGAATTACCTTGGGGTAGGGGGAGAATGGCTGTGGAGTCACAACAGGAGGAACCAGGGTCACAGATTCTGACCCAAGGGCTATGTGGACAGCAACTGTGGCCAACAAATTCCATCTTGGATTTCTAAATGAACTTCCCAAGGGAAGTCTGGATATGAAACTGCAGGTGCTAAAAGGGCAAAAGAAAAAGGGGAAACCAAGGAATACAGTTAAAGTGACTGGAAAGTGAAGGCAGAAAAGGAGCACGAATGGCCTCGGGTGAAAAAGAAGAATTTTCTGAACTTCTGTTTAGTCATCCCATGTGGCCTGTAGTTTGGGGTATTAAAAATTTGTTTTCTTGCCTTTAGCGTGTGGGAGAATGGAAGAAGAGAGTAAGATCTTTAACCTATTACAGAAAAACAGAGGGATGCTGACCCTTCCCTCTCCACTACCTCTGTATCTCCAGCATGTTTGTATTTCCCATCTATGAACTGAATGCCGTACTTTCAGACCTACTGCCTTTGTTTTCTAAATCTGGGCCATAAAATGCTTGGCTGGATTTTATCTCCAGACATCATCCTCAACCACTATCATATGGCCCCACTTGAACAGATGTTGGAGTTATTCTGAGACTAATCTTGACTCGGTAAGTCCTCTTTTCTTAACTTTCGCTTGTCATTCATGGAAATGATTTATAATAAGTATTTTTAAGAAAGACAAGAAAAACACACGGATGGTAGATTCAGGACAACTCAAAAACCAAATATTTGAAACACAGGAAACTCTAATCAGCTCTTGTCCCTCCAGTACAACCTTGGGAAACAAAGACTATTGCACAGATGGAGTGTAGTAACAATGAAGATGGAAATTTCTTTACATAGAATTTCCAGCCATCATTCATGTACTTTTTCCATATCTATGCCTCCATTCTAGTTTTATTCCCCAATTCCTAATATTATATGTCTACCAAATTGTTCTACCCTTATTGCATACTACATTTATTATATCGATGGCCATTCATTAACATTTTATATAATTTTACTGCAATGTACATAGGTTTTGCCATCAAATACTGGCTCCATCACTTCTTTGCTTGTCTCTTTTCCATCTTCAATTTACTCACTTATAAAACGGGATGTGGTGAATCTTACTTAGATTATTGTGGATTTTTAAGGGTAGTATGCATGATGCCATTTATTAAAGGGACAGACATAGAATGAGATATTGTTGGCCAAATACCTGCGACTTTTCTTCTCTTATTTGTGAATGCAATGTAAAGGGTTACGATGGCTATCTGGTGATGTGTGGTGTCATATCTGAGGACAATAACCAAGGATGCCAGTACTGACAGATAAGAGACAGCCTAGATATTGATGATGATATGTTTGAATTTTTGAACAAATCTTAGGCCAACCCATCTTAAAAGTTATAACATAAGCAAAAGGAATTTCTATGATGCTGTAGCTACCGCTAGTTGGGTTTTCTGAATGTAGTCCAGATTCCTTCTCTGATAAGGTTGAAAATAGAACTTGTTACTTCACAAGGCATTAAACAAATGTGAACATGCAGTGAAAAACAGAGAGTATGGGCAGTGACTGTGGAATTATTTTTATCTGTAGTATAACTCATATTGTAATTACTTACCTAACTCCAAGGCTAAATAAGGCTTGTTAGTCAGCAGCGACTTTAGGCATGTAATGAGTAAGGGACTTATGACAGTGAATCAGCAGCTTAAACAACCATGAGAAGTGTTGAGGGTGAAGTGACAAGGAAAATCTCACCTGGATTTCAGAAAATCAAAAAAAGGGATCAAATCAAATTATATTTTTCACTTATTTATGCCAATAATTTTTTTAGAAAACAGATGTTATAATCTTTACTAGCAAGATCAATCACCCAGCTGGTAGATTAATCTCTTTCATCATCTATTTCAATATTATGAGGATTCCCAAATGACAAATAGCAATTTTAAATTCCAGTTCAGAGGGACTATTACTGTGACTACTCAATAAAATACTCAATACATGGTTTTATGGACTGTTTGTCCAAATTGATATGTTTAAATACTTACCACCGATGTGATGATATTAGGAGATGGGAGCTTCGGGAGGTAAAATTGCGTCATGAGGGTGAAGTCTTCATCAGTGTAATTTGTGCCATCATAAAAGAGACCACAGAGAATGCTCTAGCCCTCTCTCTATTGTGTGAGATAACAACGAGCAGTCAGCAGTCTGCAGCTTGACAGATGGCCCTCACTCAAACCAGATAGCACTGGCACCTTTATCTCAGATTTCCAGAATATAGAACTGTGAGAAATAAATTTCTGTTGCTTACAAGCCACCTAGTCTATGGTACTTTTTTTATAGCAGGCCAAACCAACTAAGACATACGGAAACTAAAATTGTAAACCAGTAAAGCCCAGGTTGTAAGAAAAGCAAGAATTTTAGCCCCAAAATGGAAAAGAGCTACTCCTGTTTCCACCTCTTGAGTCTTTACCTGTGTGTTCTGGCTATGGGAGAAGCAGTACACATATTGGACGCAGGTTCTGAGCATACAAAACTTCAGCCCCATAGTGAGCCAGCATCGTATCTCATGGGACTGTGAGAATATCATGACAGATTGCCAGGGAGTTGATGCTGCTTAGATATTGTATGAGGGGCTACACTGATTTGTTTCAGCAAGGAAACTACTAATTGACTAACTTTATTATCATTGCACACTCCATAGTTCATCTGTCATACAAATGGTCAAAATTCATGAGTCAAATGAGGGCATAATATGAATCCTAACACCCGCATCTTTTCTGTAACATTTTTATTGTAAAATATAACACAAATACTACATATAGAAAAATGCACCTATATAATCAAGATTCAGGCCAAAATGGAGCATTTGTAGCACGTAGCACCTTATATATTTTCTACGTGACCCTATCCCCCACCAAAGGTAACCAACATTCCGACTTTTATGGAAATAAATTCTTTGTTTGTATTTATAATTTTACCTCTCAGAAATGTATCTCTAAAAATTATGCTTCAGGTTTTTTCTAATATTTTAAATTTTACTAATACAGTCTCTTGATTACTGTTTGTATGGAATAAATATTTTCACTTTTATTTTTAATGGATGTGTATCCTTATATTTTAGATGTGCCTGTAGTTGGAAATGTATTTCCAACCTGAAAATGTCATTTTTCAGAGTATTTAAAGCATCTTTTTTTAAAAGCACTG
The DNA here is from genome assembly GCF_000001405.40 of Homo sapiens. Taxonomy (NCBI): domain Eukaryota; kingdom Metazoa; phylum Chordata; class Mammalia; order Primates; family Hominidae; genus Homo; species Homo sapiens. Next base: position 89,629,764 of record NC_000013.11, read on the forward strand.
ATGTACAAGTATCCATCACTAGCTGAATGTATTAACTACTTATTTTAGATAATAAATGATGAGAGTTAACATCATAGTGATGCAGATAACAAAAGATAGCTCAGCAACTTATCTAAATGTAGAAGGATCCTAAGGTTTCATAGCAAGTCTGAGTATCAAAGATTCAAATGGTGCTCAGATTTACTTGGTTTGAACTTACTTTTAAAATAAGAGGTCTTCCTGTCTTAACAGTTTTATGTTTCTATCTTCTTTGCACTTTGTTTCAGACTAATTTGGTTTGTCTTTTCAAAGCTAATTAAGATATTAGCTCTAGATTTTTAATTAATGAAGTTTATTAGGTTGATTTTTTTTTTTCTATTCTTAGATTTCTAAGAGTATGAGTTTTTAGGCTGGGCGCGGTGGCTCACGCCAGTAATCCCAGCAGTTTGGGAGGCCAAGTAAAGCAGATCACCTGATGTCAGGAGTTCAAGACCAGCCTGGCCAACATGGCAAAACCGCATCTCCACTAAAAATACAAAAATTAGCTGGGTATGGTGGCAGGTGCCTGTAATCCCAGCTACTCGGGAGGCAGAGGCTGTAGTGAGCTGAGATTGCATCACTGCACTCCAGCCTGGGTGACAGAGCAAGACTCCATCTCAAAAACAAAACAAAACAAACAAAAACACGAAAAACAAAAGAGTATGTGTTTTTGTTTTTTGTCTTTTAAAAATCATGAATGAGTACTGAGTTTTTAAAATAAATTTTCTTTTTGACATAATCTTATGGGTTATTTTTTATTTTCCCAGTGATAAATTACATTGATTGATTTTCAGATGTTTAAAACGTTTGCATCCCAGGGTTAAACCCTACTTAATAAAGTTTCATTATCTTCTTTAAAGTTTTTTGTTTTTTTAGAGACAATGTTTTGCTCACTTGCCTATGCTGGAGTGCAGTAGCATGATCACAGCTCATTGTAACCTCAAACTCCTGGACTCAAGCAATTTCTCTGCCTCAGCCTCCTGAGTAGCTGGGACTACAGGTGTGTGCCACCATGCCTGAATTTTTTTTTAATTTTTAATTTTTAATTTTTTTTTTTTTTTAGATAGTTTCGCTGTTGTTACCCAGGCTGGAGTGCAATGGCGTGATCTCAGCTCACTGCAACCTCCGCCTCCTGGGCTCAAGCAATTCTCCTGTCTCAGCCTTCCAAGTAGCTGGGATTACATGTGTGTGCCACCATGCTCTGCTAATTTTTTGTCTTTTTAGTAGAGTTGGAGTTTCACCAAGTTGGTCAGCCTGATCTCGAATGCCTGACCTCAGATGATCCGTCCACCTTGGCCTCCCAAAGTGCTGGGATTACAGGCGTGAGCCACCGCACCGAGCCTTTTTAATTTTTTATACAGATGAGGTCTCCTTCTGTTGCCCAGGCTGATTTTGAACTCCTGGCCTCAAGGAATCCTCCCACTTCAGCCTCCTGCAGTGCTATGATTACAGGCATGACCACCCATGCCTGGCTGTCATTATCTTTTCTATATATAGCTAGAATCAATGCACTATATTTTGTCATTTTTATGTGGTTTTATTTCAGAATTATATTGGCATAATAAGTTTAGCAATATTCCTTCTTTCATCTGTATTTTCTGAAAAAAATATAATATTATTTCTTCAATATTTGATAGAATTCATCAGTGAAGTAATGTGAGCCCAGAGTTTTCTGTGAGAAGTTATTTCTAATAATTAATTTGATTTATTCAACCAATATAACGTTGTTCAGATTTTCTAATTTTTCATGGTATCAGTTTTGTTAAATTGTTTTTTTCTTACTTCTTCCTTAATCAGTCTAGCAGAAAGTTTACCAATTTAATTGCTACTTTTAAAAACTAACTTTTTATTACTTTTTATTATTTCTTTCATTTGCCTGCTTTCTAGTTCATTAATTTCTGCTCTTATCATTATTACTGCCTTACTTCTACTGAATTTTGTATAATATGCTTATCTTTTTTTGCTCCTTAAAAATACCAAGGTCATTATTTTTAAACATTTCTTCTTTTCAAATATAAGCGTAGAAAGCTATAAATTTATTTAAAGAATATCTTTAGCTACATCCTACAGATTTTGATAGGTTTTGCTTTTATCTGTTTATTTTCTAATTTTCTTTGCAATTTTCTCCTGAGTCCATAGGTTATTTAGGATTTTGTTGTCTAATTTCTAATTATTTGAGGATTTTTGAGGTATCATTTTATTTAAAAAATTAAATATAATTTCAAAGTCATCAGGGTATATACTTTTTATATTTTCAATCTTTGAGATACATTGGGCTTTGTTTTGTGATCCATCACATGGTCTGTCTAGTGTAATTGAAACTTATCATGGTCTACTTGAATACTATATGCATTTTGTCATTGTTGCATGTGGCATTTTTTAAATGTTAAGTAGGTCAAGTGGGATGATAGCACTATCTTTGTCTTTTATATCTTACTGATTTTCTCTCTACTTGTTCTATTAACTGTTGAGAGAATGATGATATCTCCAACTTTAACTGTGAATTTATCTAGAGCTCTTTATTTTTTTCTGTTTTTGCTTCATATATTTTTGAAACTACCTCCATGATTATGTCCTATTATTTGTTTGTATTGCTACTATTTTTTATAGTTTTAATGATTTCTATAGTTCAGCAAACAGAATACTGGCCACTCAGAGATGACCATACACTAATTCCCAGAACTTATGAGTGTGTTAATTTACATGGCAGTAGAGATTTCCCAGATGATATTAAAGTCAAGAATGAAGAGATAGGGAAATTATTCTGGATTATCCAAGTAGGCCCAATCTAACTACAGGAGTCCTTAATGTAGGAGACATTTTCCCATGAGGATCAGAGAGAAAGCTGCAACAAGGAAAGAGGAATCAGAGACAGGCAGCCTGAGAAGGGCTCAGCTCACTTTTGCTGGCCCTGAGCATGCAGGAAAGAAGTCTTGGGCCAAGAGACTGGGGATGGCCCTCTGATGACAGCCAGCAAGAAAATGGGGTCCTTCATTCTGTAACCACAAGTAACTAAGTTCTGCCAACAACCTGAGTAAGCAAGAATGGATTCTTCCTTAGACCTCTAGAAAGAAATACAGTCTAGTTGACAAATTGATCTTAGTTTATAATACTGTGTAGGACTGCTGTCTTACAGAAATGTCCAATCATATTAGGTGTGCTGGTTTAAGCCCCTAAGTTTGTAATTTGTTATGGGAACCACAGAAGACTAATACTTATAGAATTTGCAACATGCATTTTAAATCTAATCACAGTTTACTTTCAAATGATATTACAACACTTTACAAGTAAAATAATACCCTTCATATCTTCCCCAAATTCATGTCCACCAGGAATCTCAAAATATAACCTTACTATAAAATAGTCTTTGCAGATGTTCTTAATTAAAGATCTCCAGATGAAATTATCTTGAATTAGGATGGGCCCTAAATCCAACCACTGGCATCCATTTAAAAAGAAGAGAAGACATAGAGAAGAACTCTATGTGGAGACAGAAGCAGAAATGGAAATTATTATGTAAGGCAACAATCCAAGGCATATTAAGGATTGCTGGGAGTCACCTGTAGCTAGGAGGAGACACTGGGGGTTTTCACCTAGAGCTTTCAGAAAGGAAGATGGCTCTGATGTCATCTTCACTTTGGACTTCTAGTCCCCAGAATTGTGAGAAAGTGTCTGTAGTTTTAAGCCACCAAGTTTTCAGTACTTAGTTATGGCAACCCTAGAAAACTAATATAATCTGCTAGTTCAATAAGATGTGTGACATCGATTATATGTGGATCACAGTTGAATCACCCAATTAAGCCAAATTAAATTTTTGATCAAAACTTGTGAGCAAAATATAATAGTTTATTTGAACCCCTAAGTTTTGGGAGAGTTTGTTTTGCAACAATAGATGAGTTGTAAATGAGTTGTTTCTAAACCAATAGCATCTCAATAGATAAGATGGAAACCTCATAGCAATCTAAGTGAATGAGAATGGAAATTAGTTGCTTCCATACCAATAGCGTAAAACAAGTGGAACTGATTTTGGGATGAAACAGCAGGCAGAATTTGGAAGAGCCTTAAGGATACAGTTGGTAAGGACTTGAATGGCAGTGAGGAAAATGTTATTGGAAGTTGGAGAAAGAAGGTGCTTGCAATAATGGAATATTTTCTTAGAATCTGGAATGGTTACCTAATTAACTCGGGGGAAATGAGAACAAGAAGTTCTCAAATAAAGTAACAGCATCAGGCAAATATCAAATCCAGAGCATAAAGATATAGTTTAAAGGTAAAGAAGTCAAGGATGGCGTCTCATAGACTGTCTGACGTGCACAAGCTTTCTAAGGATCATAATTGTGAAAGACCAGCTCTGTTAATTAACAAAGATTAACGATTTAAGAATCTTAAAGGAGTCATGTCATGTCGTCATAGATTTCAGCAGTCCTAAGGTATAGAAGTGCTTGTTTGAATTACACTGTGTGCTTAATTTTGTTTAGAGAAGTGTTATTATAATTTGATATACACAGAGCTGCCAATATTTTAAAAGAAATTATACCAAATTGGACTATAAAATGACAAAGTCTGTTCAAAAACAAGAGGCTTTTGTTTCCATGACCAGCAGATAAAATATAAAGTAAAAATTATGTAGCTGAAAAAAAAAAAGAACCAAAAACTATGGCAAATCATTTTTAGGCAGTAGAACTGGGTCCTAATTAAGGAACTGGCAGTATGTACTGGGCAGGAATTCAGAACTGCTGTGAATCACTGGCTGCTATGGTCATCTTCGTTTCCTTCTTGTTGACTGGGACTGCCATCATTCTCAATTTCAAGTTAATATTTCCATTTCAAAATTAACATGAAGACTTTTTCTTAACTTATTCTATGTTTTAAGTCCTTTTTCTATTATTATAAAAATTTTAGCTTCCAAAAAAAGGCTTAGCTCTTTATAACTTAGTGCATTTGTTGTTTTTATTATAAAAGTATAACTATATTCAAACATAAAATACCATTATTGCTTCTAGAAATAAAGTTCCTTGAAGAAATTTAGCATTTCTCTGCAGTTGTTTTGGGGCATAGAATATATCCTAGTAACAAGATAGCTGTACTCAAATTTTACTTAAAAAATATTTTCTACTTGGTTATATTGCAATTTGATTTACCTTTTTGTACAGTTTTAGGATTTGCTTTTGTTCTCAAGTAATGTTTATTTTTCAAATAGGTAAATTATTTGCAAGGCTCAAAATCAAGGCTATCTTACAATTGAGAAATCTTGACCCTATTCCTATTGTCTCCACCCACTCAACACCATTAGGTAACTATTTTGAAAAGTTTCTAGTTTACTTTTCTATATACGGATTACCTAAAATAAGTGCTTGCACATGTGTGTTTGTGTAAACACATATATTTGTGTGCGTGTATATATGCACATGCTCTTATCAAAAAAGAAAACCTGAATTTAATGTTCAAATTTAGAACATTTATAGGTATATCTTTAGATATCGATTTCTTTTTTCTAAAGGGAATTAGGTGATAATTTAGGTAAATATTTTGCCATAGCTTGTCATGTGCTAACACTACAAGAATCTTATTTTCTGATTAATAGATTATTACTACTTTCATATCTAACCCTACAAGACAACTAGTCTAAGATTTTTAAATATCTGCTTCCTGGAAAACAATTTGTTTAAAAATTGCATTAATGAAGATTCTAAACATAGTCTTTTATTTGTTTTTTAAATAAACACTTTAAATATTTAAGGATGCATTATAGCAATTTTCAAACATTTGGTCTCTTAAATTTATTACAGCCTTGAAAAATAGACTTAAAGATTTTAAAGAACCTTAATGCTATGAGTTATTTCTACCTATGTTTACTGTTAGAAAAAAAAAACCTGAAAATTTTTAAAACATTTTATTCACTTATAAATAACAAAAATAAATCCATCGCATGTCAACATGAAAATGTATTTTTTGAGAACAATAACTGAATTTTCCAAAACCAAAACGTAAATTAATGAGGAGTGGTATCACTCAGTATTTTTGCAGATCATTTTAATGTCTAGACAAAAGGCATCTAGCTTTTCACGTTTCTTCTGCATTCAATATCTTACAATATGTTATTAATATTTTTGTTGAAGTATATCAAGAAAATTTGACTTAACAAAAATATCTAGCTGAAAAAGGTAGAAGCATTATAATAATTTTCAGATAATTATGAATATTCTTCTTTGGTACTATACCAAAACTTGACAGGTGGTAGTTTCTTAAAAGTTTGGCTGTAATGTGGAATCTAAGAACATAACAATGAATTTTTGTATCATTTTACATTAAAATTCATTGACTTATCTTGAACTTCGAAAGCATATTTTCTGTATACATGCTTATGTATCTTAATGCATTGGTCATTTGACATATGTTGGTTCACTAAGTTACAAATATGTTCTAGAAGTTGATACACTTCATTATTTGATATAAAAATATTATTGCCAATCTCAATAGAAGATTCTTAAATATTGCAAATCTGTCAAGGTTTGGTGGTCAATACCAGCTTCATAAAATTACAATTTTTCCTAGAAGATTGGATTTTATAAATGGTCATGCGTACTATCATTGTTCTTGAAGTGGCTGGCTTATGTAGTTCATTTACAGAAAACTGTGTAACACCCAAATCAATCTGAAGAGCCATAGTTTGTCTGTCAGTCATTCCTTTAAATGAAATTGGTATTCTGTGAATAAAAGCAACTATTTCAGTTTATGAGCCAGTCACAAAAAATGTTTTTCCTTAAAACAACCATTGCAATTTTATAAGAATTTTCCTTTTCGTCACAAATAATTTTTTTAAAGCACTCCGGAATAGAGATATAACACAATTAATATTTTCACTGCTTTTTCAAGGACATTCTTAAGTAAAACTGGCTCTCTACACTCCCAACCCCAGTGAGTTCATGGTAGTGCAGAATATAATAACTACTAATTCAAGTTGGAAAGACTGCCTTCATTGATGTCAAAATATAAGCAATTTTATCCACATTGATTTCATAACAGTGCATTGTCAACACACAGTAAAAAAAAAAGGGTAATATTGTCTTAACGTTTGTATGAAAATGATCTTGACCTTGTGAACTCCCTGAAAGTTCTCAAAGGGCTCCGGAATTGCTGAAACAATGTTATGAAATCCAATGATGCACTGATTATTTTGTGTATATGTATTTCAAATGCAGTCTGCATCTGTGCACTTTTTAATTTCAAAGTTTTCCTTGATGATTTATTTGTGGCTTAATGTCTCACAAAGGTAATAATTCTGAACGTCATTACCATTATCTGTCCTGAATACGACTTCTATAGATCACTTAATTTGTTCATCCCAATTATTTCTAATCTGTAAAAACTAAATTGCTTATGCTTAATTTGAAGGTGTTATTTATTACTGCAGTAGAGTGAAATGCTGTTATTTTAAAACAGAAATTTAGAGTTTAGAGAAGCAAGACTAAATGTTTCAAGTGTTCCTACCTGAAATAAAAATTAATTTATTTACTGTCTTTACTGTATTAAGTCCATAACTCTCTTATAGATCAAAGTTTTCTTTACATTTAATTATATATTATTCTTGCTGTATTTACTCATATAAAGGACAAAACAATGGAAAACATTTTGATACTATTTTTAACAAAATGCTTATGAAAATTAAATCCCTAGGTGTATATTTCTCTAACATTTGTCTGTGAAGATACGTTACTGATTTTTTATTTTGTTTCTTATTAGTATCTATGCTCTTCATAAGGATCTGGTTCAACTGAATAAACATATGAGAAGAAAGTTCAGGAGAGATTTATTACACTGTTCTTTTCACCTTGATCACAAGTTATTTCTGCATAAGATGGTTATCTTCCCATTTCCTTTGTTAATGGGAAATATACTGTAATTTTTTTATATGATGGTTTGGTTTTCATATTTTATTTATTTAATAAATTAATGTTATGCTATCATTCAATTATTTTTCAAATCTATTTATAGAAATTCACATTCTGGGGTTTTAAAATCTAAAAATTGGTTTCCAGAAAACATTTAGAATAAACTTTTTGATCTTTCACTGTAATAATCATATGCTTTAATAAACATTAGTAATAATAATAAGATTTGATATACTATAAAACAAACATGTTCCTTAAATCTTTGTTCATAAATTTTAAAATACCTATATTTGTACTCTAAGGCACAGCAAAGTGATTCAAAATAAACTTCATTTTATGACTACATTTTCATCCATACTCTGCTCATATCTAAGGCTAGTAATAAATTATTAAGAAATAATTAATTGTGTTTTGCTCTGGATTGTTCAGAGACCAGAATATGTGAGAAATATTCTTCTATCCGAAGTCCCACCCAGGTATATCAGGAAGCCAAATCACAAGGCCAGAACTTTTTAAAGACCTTTTTAAAGGAATGTGTGTACTAGGTAGGGAGGCCCTAACGATATCTTCTTTAGCTCCTTTCATTATATGTTGGCATGGGAAGACTAAGGCAAAGATTTACATGGTCATATTTAATATAGAAGGAAGCACTTGATCATCTCCCCAAGGAACCTATTGTATTCTTCTTAACTTTTTTTTTGTCTTAGTTCTACTTTAGTGTTGACTTCTACGTTGCTTTACGTGTACATTTCAACAAGTATTCGTAAATTTATAAAGTTTTCCACTATCACAATCCAGTTTTAGTACATTCACATCAACTTTCAAAAATTCCTCATGTTCATTTGCAATCTATCTCTGTTCTCTTGCCAGCTCTAGGTTACCACTTATCTGCTTTCTATCTATAAGTTTGACTTTTGCAACAATCTCATATAAATACATTCATGTAAAATGCAGTCATTTATGTTTGGCTACTTTTGCTTAACATGTTTCTGAGATAAAACTGTGTTGTTTCCCGGGTCAGAAAAGTGCTCATTTTTCTACTGAGCAGTATTCCACTCTATGAAATACACATTTTGCTAATTTATTTGCCAGTTGAAGGACATTGTTGTTTGCAGTTTGAGGCTATAATGAATTAAGATGCTATGCACACTTGAATGAAGTCTTTTGTGGAAATGTTTTCATGCCCCTCAGGTGAAAACTTAGGGGTTAAATTGGTGCATCATATGGTACGCACATGTTAAATGTTTCAAAAAACCAAGATTTTTCCAAGTAGCTGTAACATTTTACATTTCTACCAGCAATACATGAGAATTCCAATTTCTCTACAGCCTCACAAATACTCGGTACTATAAGTCTTTTATTTAATTTTTTCTTAAAATAATTTAGCCATTTTAGTATGTGTGAAGATATATCTCACTGTGGTTTTAATTTGCATTTACCTAATAATTAATTATTTTTATTATCTTTTCATAGGCCGGGAGATGGATAGAGAAATAGATAGCTAGAGAAATAGATAGATTAGATGATAGGTGATAGATGATAGATAGATAGATAGATAGATAGATAGATAGATAGATGATAGATAGATAGAACAGATAGAGAAAAGGAAGATTGGCCAAGGATGACTACTATTTACTAGATTTAGAAGATGAAACTTGGTAAAGAAGGTACAAAAGTAATTAGATAATTGATTTTGAAGCAATAAAGAAGAAAAAGGTATGTTTTCCTTAATTATAGTTTCAAAATATGGTTCTTTTCCTCTTGCTCCTCCTTCTCCAATTCTTCTTATTCTTACTCCTATCCTAATACAGAAAAGGAGTGGTATAAAAGAGACTAAGAACTGAGTAAATTGGAATGAAGTGTTGGTATTGAGTTAGCGCAGTGAGTGTAACTATTTTTCTCATAAAAGGAGATCATTTTTCTATAGGAGAGACTGGCATATTTAAAGACGAAAACTACTTAATGATATTAAACTGGAACATTTATAGCATTGAATCTCAGAGAAATACTTTTTATAAGTTTGGGCTGCAATCATGAAACTAGTATTTAGTTTTAAGTGTGTAACTGTGTATATGATTTCCATTATTAGAGCTTGCATATTTTAAGTTATCCTAGAACAATTTCTCAACCTCAGTACCATTGGCAATTTAGTCGAGATAATTCTTTGTTGTTGTGGGAGGGGGGATGTCTTGTGCACTGTAGTGTGGTTAGTAATATTAGCACCTTCTTCTCAGTTGTAACAACCCAAAATATCTCCAGACATTGCCAAATGTATCCTAGGTAGCAAAAATTACCTGTGGTTCTAAACTACTCTCATGAAGCAATGATTTGAAAGTATCGCCCAGGAATTACTGAAGGTCTCCAAGTCCTTCCTAGGAGGCCCAAGGGATCTATACTGCTTTCAGAATAACACTGAAATGTTATTTGCCTTTCAACTCTGATTCTTTCATGTATGTGCAGTGCATTTTCCAGAAGCTACATGAGCTTTGATATCAGAGCAGATTAAATGATGGAGCAGATATGAAAATCCAGTTGCCTTCTATTAAACCAGATTAAGGACATTTTCAAATATGTAAAGCAATGCTGATCTTCTCACCAATTTGGGGGGATTTAAAAAATATTTAGTTTTCAAAAATGTTATTTATGTTAGCATAAATATCATAAATTTATTGTTGTTACTTAAATTGACTTAAAGACATATTTAATAATTATTTCAGTGTTAATTTTAATACAACAAATGTTAGTTAATATAACTCTCATAAACAAGTTTTTTAAAGGACTCATTTTTTTAACATGTAAAGGGTCTCTGATATCAAACCATTTGAATACTGCTGTTCTAAATATACAAGCTCAGAATATATACCACACCAATTTTTAAAATAGCTAAGAAAAATACAGTTGGAAAATTAACTGGGAAAACAGGTTTCTATTTTCCAATAGAATAGAATAACTCATATAAATCAATGAACTATTCAGTATGTAAAGTAAAACTTAAAGATTTCAATGCTTAAATATTTCTGAAGATAACGTATGAAAACCCCAAGAACAAGTAGATCAACTTAAAATAAAGATTATGAAATATTTAGGTCTACGAAAGCCCAATGAAAAGAAGAATAGAAACACTGATTGCCTAGATTATTACTCTAGTCACCTTGGCTAAAGAAACACATTGATTATTTTGGGAGAAGGATATATAATTTTGAATGTCAGAGTCCCCAGTTGATGATAATTTGAATTCCCCGGTATAAACATATACATCACTTAAATAATAGAGTTACAAATCCATATGGTAGATTGTAATATTTTGCTATATTTTTATGATCTCCATATATTCACTGTCAATATAAGCCAAACATGTAGTTACTAATATAGAGTAGGTACCTGGATTGAAAGTTTTTATTTACTGAAGGTGCATACATAGTAACCAAGAGCCTTCTCATCAAGAGAAATTCCAATTCAGCACAGATGCTTCCAGCCCAAATGGGTTTAAATTCTTACTTCAATTTTAGCCAGTTCTGATAGCTTAATTAGTGATTTACATTTACTGTGCCTAGTTTCCTCATCTGTATAGTATGCAGGAATAATAACTGTTTGTATCTCAAAAGATTATTGTGACATTTAAATGAATTAATATCTAAAGCTCTCAAAAAGGGATCGCATGTAAATTCTATGTGTGTTAATATTGACATTTTCCATCTTTTTCTATCCACAAGCTTCCAACCCTGTTTCCACACAAGTAGTTCCTCCATAATTTTGTCTTTTTTTCTACCTAGAATTTGAAATGAGTCAAATAGGTCAGTTCTTCAATATAAGAAATGACCATAGAAATTCATTTGTTTCTTTAATTGCTTGAGAGGGATTAAAAAATTCTTTTACTGGTTAATTATATAAACTTTACCTTTTCTCCAGGTCTAATGCATTCAGACCAAACAAGCTAAAAATATTCTAGCATCCAGAGCAATTTGTAGATAAACTTTTTGAGAAAAAGAAGACCAATTAAGTATGGATATGAATACATTATATTTCCCAAGAACCTATAATAAAGGTTAATTTTTAGAGATGGTTTAATTTAGTAGTCATAGATTTCTAATAAGCACACTAAAATTTAAGAATTATATTATTCTGACATGATTTTAAACTTTACAATTTTTTAGTCTAATAAGAGTAAAATTTGAATTGCTTATCACGTGTATGATGCTCTTCCTTAGCAATTAAAAAAGAAGATTTAACTTTTCTTGTTACTCATCTGACCAAATAAATATCTTTATATGATCACTGTGTAGCATTAGTTGATTATGCAGTTTTTATACAGTAACAATATACTTGGACTCACTGACACTATGACATAACTCTAATTCATGGCATGTCTTTTTAAAAATTGATACATAATAATTTTACATATTTATGGGGCATATGTGATATTTTGTTACAGGTACAGAATATGTAATAATCAAGTCAGAGTATCTGAGGGGGTCCATCGTCTCTAGTGTTTATCATTTCTATGTGTTGGGAACATTTCAAGTCTCTTCTAGCTATTTTGAAATATAAGATACATTGTACTTAACTATAGTCACCCTCCTCGGGTATTGAACATTAGAACATATTTCTTCTATCGAACTGCATGTTCATACCCATTAACCAACTTCTCTTAATCCTTCCAGTCTTCCCCACACTCCACATCCTTTTCAGTCTCTGGCATTCATCATTCTACTGCGTGAATTCATCATTCATCTGAGTGAGATCAACTTTTTTAGCTCCTGCACACCAGAGAGACCATATGTTTGTCTTTCTGGGCCTGACTTATTTCACTTAAGACTTCACTAGACACACTTTCACTTCTAGTTCCATTAATGTTGATGCAAATGACACAATTTCATTATTTTTTGTGGCCAAATAGTATTCTACCATGTATATGTATTATATTTTCTTTATCTATTATCCCTTTATGGACACAGTTTGATTTCATATATGTGCTATTGTGAATAGTGCTGCAATAAATGTGAGATATTGCTTTCATATACTGATTTCTTTTCCTTTGTATTAATACCAAATCTCAAATACTAAATACTGGATCAATACCCAGTAGTAGGATTGCGGATTGAATGGTAGCTCTATTTTTAGTATTTTGGGAAATCTCTGTACCATTTTCCATAGTAGCTGTAGTAATTTACATTTGTAACAACAACATATAAGAGTTCTTTTTTCTTCACATCCTTGCCAACACCTTTTATTTTTTGTCTTCTTTTTAATAATAGCCATTCTGACTGAGATAAATGATATCTTACTGTGGTTTTTATTTGCATTTTCCTGATGATTAATAATGTTGAGCATCTTTACTTATAACTGTTTACCATTTGTAAGTCTTCTTTTAAAAAGTGTCTATTCATGTCTTTGCCCACTTTTTAATGGGATTATGTGGTTTGTTTTACTGTTGTTTGAGTTTCTTACATATTGTGGATATTAGTCCCTTTTCAGATAAATACTTTGCAAATATTTTCTTCTATTCAGTAGGTTCTCTCTTCACCCTTTGATTGTTTCCTTGGCTGTGCAGAAGGTTTTTAGTTTAATATAGCTCCATTTGTCTACCTTTGTTTTTGTTACCGGTGCTTTTGAGGTGATAATCATAAAATCTTTGCCTGGACCACTGTCCTAAAGCATTCCCTCTATGTCACCTACTAGCAGTTTAATGGTTTTGGATCTCAGATTTAAGTTTTTAATCAAGTTTGAGTTGATTTTTGCATATGGTGAAAGATAGGGGTCCAGTTTCAATCTTATGAAAATTCCATTTTCCCAGCATTATTTACTGAATAGACCATTTTTCCCCCCATGTGTGTTCTGGGCACCTTTGTTGAAAATCAGTTGGCTGTAAATATGTGGATTTATTTCTTGTTTCTGCTCAACTGGCTTATGTGTCAGGTTTTTTTAAGCCTGGAACCTTACATAAATTTATCCAGAAACATTAAAAAGTTCATTAAAACAAAATTTAAATGACAAATCAAGTTTTCTTCAGTTATAATTGGTTATTCTTTTCATAAGCTATATAGTATACATAATATATCTAAAAGAAATTAGCAAAAATAAATTTAATTTTTAAATACATTTCTAAAAATTAAATCAAAGGATCAAAAATATGAAAGCAGAACAACAAAAAATTGACATCTCTACTCAAGGTTTAAATAAATAACAAGAGAGCACTGTGCAACAATAAATATTAATAAGATTAGCACATATCTTTGCTATTGTGAATAGTGCTGCAATAAACATACAAGTGCAGGCATCTTTTTGATATAATTTGTTTTCCTTGAGTAGATATCTCCTAGTGGGATTACGGAATCAAATGGTAGTTCTATTGACATAGAGTGTGGAGTGATATAGAATGTCCGAGATTTCTCAAGGGAAGGAGTGTACATATATTTTTTTCTATCTATATTAATCTCTGGTACTTTAAAATCAAAGGTCTTTTATAAGGTCTTGATTGAAACTTAGAAGTTAAATGCAAACAATCATATTTAGCACTGATCTTTGTCTCAGGGTTGTACATTAATATTTTACTTAAAATATTTACAGTACCTATTAATATAATGCAACTGTGTACTAGACACCTCCTTCAACGTAGAGAGGAAATGTTTATTGTGAGACTACTTAATGAATATATTAAACAAAAGCACAAGTACCAAGGATATCATTCTATGCTTATGATACTACATTTCTATCTTTCTTCATTCACAACTTTCCTTCAGAGATTAACAAAGTTTCTATGAACCAGCACACTGAAGAATTTCACTGTAAACAGAAATATCAAATACAATCAATAAATGAAATTCAAATTTTTTTACGGAATAACTTTAAGATTGATTTTGATAATTAATTAGTTGTCCATAGACTGACATATTGCAGCTTATTATAATAAAACACAGAGAAACAACTTAAAAGCCAGTAAAATATGCTGACTGAATTGAAGAATAACTCATTAGCATAAGATATATGGATTGTTTTTTAAATGAAATCAAGGATTGTCAGAAAAATAAATCAAAACTGCCATAATAATCCCCATTTGAAATAAACACAATCAACATTTTCAAATATATCAACCAGAGTTGGCAAAGTCCTTTAACATATCTCTATTATTTGTGCAACAGCTGTTAAACAAGACATAACATTCATATCAACATTTTCAGCTTCAGAATTTGAAGCTCTAGTGTGATTTGATGGAGATATAATATTTAAATGTATAGAACTGTGATTTTGTTATTCTGTTTTATCTACTGATATTATAATCAATAAAATATATTTTACTAATTGGGCAACATCTATATAAAAATATAATCTTAAACATGACTTGATCTTTATAAGGCATAATAGAAAAATATTTTGAACCACCTTTGAAAAAGATAGATTCTCCTGACAATGTGAAAAGAATTGAAAATTTGTTCATGAGATGAAATATGAAATCTTGTTTCATTTTTACAATTATAGATTTGAATATAAAATATATTTAAGATTTTTCAAAGATCAGAAATGCATTAATGATAAAATATGTTCCATCTTGATTCTTATGACAATAATATTGCACAGTTGGAAACTTTTATATGTGAAAATGATATTCTTCAGAAGTGAGTCCACAGAAAAAGAGATCATCTTTATTAGACTTGAGGAAAAGATAAAGAGGTTAATGAAAACTAAACAAAAAAAACAATGTTCCAAGATGGGCATATGAAAGTCAGAGTGCTTTCAATTTAAGTTTCAGGTTCTAGTGTCCTCAAGTTTTATGAATCTCAGGAGATATATTTTCAGCCAAATAAGTAGTAGCCTTAGACTTTATGTCTCGTAACTGAAAAGAAAGCCAGTCAATAAAACTTAACACTGTTTTCTCATAGATCTTGAAGCTCTCAATAACAGTATTCTTCTTTTTAAAGCTCTCTTTACAGGGCACACCTAAGAATCAAACAAAATGAGAAAAATAACACAGAGAGAGAAATAATACAAGTAATGTGTTTAAATAAGCTATAATATTGTTTTTTTACCATTCGTATATTTGAAATAACAAACTATTAAAGAAGTTTATTCCTTTACACAAAAATTAAATAGTACAAAATGTCTAATTACATCATAGCTGTAAAACTTGAATTAAAAGCAAACTATGGTTGGAGCTTACCATAGTTCTTTACATGACCACTAAGAATATGGAAAGAGTGAATTCTGAGAAAATTAATGGGATTCTGGGGAAATGATAAAGGAGAAATAGATACAGGTCACATTATCCTAAAACCTTTTTATTAAAGCAAGAGAGTGTTCTGAGAAAAATATATATATATATTTGAGAGGCACTAAACAATACTTATCCTTGAACTTAATACTTTAGAAATGAAAACTGAAGAAGAAAAAGTTTTCAACTTGGTAACTGAAAAAACAATGATACAGTTCTGCACCAGAAAAATAGAAGTATAAAGCAATTTTCAATTTAAGAATCAATATTGTTGAATTTTCATATGAGTTAAAGAACTTACACAAATGTTCTTAAACTCGTAAATGTCTATAGCACAATTGTATCATAATTGAATTAAATAAATTAGAAAAGATTTAACAGACTTAATTTGGGAGGGGCCACCATCATAAATGACTCACAAACTAAAGAAACACTGGTTTATATGAATATTTCAGGTGAATCAAATATATTTATTCAATAATAAATTTCTACTTTGTTATATAATTTATTACTACTTTATCTCATGCCTTTTTTGTAAATAAACATACACACTGACCTCAAAACTCTCAAACCAGAAATAGTACAGAACAGTGAAATTACAATTGTCTTGAAACTGACCCAATTGTCCCAAAGAACTGATGTTCAACAGTTTCTTTTGAATAAACAAAGAAACAAACCCTTCTAATCTTAAAATCTGAGAAAGTTACATTTGTTTTATCTGAGTTCCTTTGTCAGGAAACCAATGGTCAGGCTCCCCAGATAGTATCAAGGAACTCAAACTTACCAGGTCATTGCATCTGGACAATAAGACTTCAGACTCCTTACCCATTATGATTACTTAAGCAACCCCTGCTTCCTGTTGACAGACTCCTCTTTCTCACCCCTCCCTAGTTCCTGTTTTCCTGCATGTAGTTACATTTCTTCCCTGCTATATAAATCCTTAATTTTAGTCAGTCAGGGAGTTGGATTTGAGACTGATCTCCCATCTCCTCAGCTGTAGCATCTGATTAAAGCCTTCTTCCATGCCAACACTTATTGTCTCAGTGATTGGCTTTCTGTGAGGCAAGCAGCAGGACCTAGAAAAATCCCTGATGTTTCAGTAACAGTCTTTGTTACCAAAGGAGCCTGAATTTAAATCTTATTTCTTAAGCTAAATAGATATGAAACTATTGGCTCATCTAAATTAACAGATACTAATTTTGTCTTTCTGATAATTGGGGAAAATAATAAGTATCTCTTAAAGTGATATAGGATTATATGAAAAACTAATTATACACAAGTAATTCGATAACCTAGAAAAAATGAATAAATTCCTAGAAAATACAACCTATAAAGACTGGGTCATGAAGAAATAGTCTGAAAATACCTATAACTAATAAGGGTGAATCGTAGTCAAAACCCACCAACAAAGAAAAGCCCAGGACCAGATGGCTTCGCTGATAAATTCTACTAAACATTTAAAGAAGAATTAATGCTAATTCTTCTCAAAAGTTTCCAAAACTTGAAGAGGAAGGAACATATGCAAATTTATGTCATGAGGCAAGTATTACTCTCATACTAAAATCAGAAAAAGTTACCACAAGAAAAGTATAGGCCAATATCCCTGATGAACATAGATGTAAAAAGTCTTCAACAAAATGCTAACAAACCAAATTCAGCAGCACATTAAAGAATCATATTATGCCAATGCAAAAGGCCATATATGAAAAGCCCTTAGCTAACATTTTGCTCAAAGGTAAAACAAAAATAAAAAGCTTTCTTTTTAAGATCAGGAATAAGGCAAGGATTCCTGCTCTCACCATTTCTGCTCATTATGATACTGGAAGTCCTAGACAGAACAATTAGGCAAGAACAGAAACAAAAGACATCCAAATCAGAAAGGAAGAGGTAAAATGTGATCATTTTTGCAAATAGCATAGTCATATATGTAGAAAACTCTAAGACTCTACTAAAATAAACTGTTAGAACTAATAAATTTAGTAAAGTTTCAGGATAAAAAAAACATACAAAAATCAATTGGATTTCCATAAACTAGAAACAAGCTATCTGAAAAGGAAAATAATTCATTTACGACAGCATTGAAAAGGATAAAATGCTTAGGAATAAACTTAACCAAAGAGGCAAAATACTTTTACTAAAAATTACAAAACACTGATTAAATAAATTATAGAAAAGATAAATAAATGACAAGAATCTCATAATCATGAATTGGAAGACTTAATATTATTAAAAAAAAGTCCACACTATCAAAAGCAATCTATAGATTCAATGCAACTCCTATCAAAATCCCAACGGAATTTTTATGGCAATAGAAAACCTAATCTAATACTTATATGAAACCACAGAGGACTCCAAATATCTAAAAGAGTCATGAGAGGAAAAAACAAAGCTGATCATTTTACACTTTCTGATTTTGTTAAAGGAGGTAGTTAGGCAGACATGAGCAAGGAAGGGTGAGGCCCTAGAAATGTCAGGTGACTGTCAGGTGATAGTAAGGCAATTGACAAGCAGCCTTCTAAGTGGTTATAGCTAGAATCAAAGAAGAAGAGCTGCCTGACCTACAGGAAACATTTGAGGCATGGGGGCCACAGCTCCCTGGTGAAATCTTAAAAGTTGGGCAAGTGCACCTAAGCAGGCACTCTAAAAGAAAAAAAAAAATGATGGAGTTTGACTGATACATGACCTTCCTCTGGAGACACTCAACTGATAAGAGAAAATTTCCACAACTCAGTAAATACACTGCAAATGCAGCCCCTCCCAAGTGCTGGCAAGCCACTGCACGTGCAGACAGCCTGGTCCAATGGAGGGATCATAAAAGAAGAAACACAAACTCTGAAATTAAGTCAACATATAAAAATCCCAAGGCAAATCCTGGGTGATGCACTTGACCCCTTAAGTGGTCTGCTTGGCCCTCTTCCGAGTGTACTTTTCCTTTTTTCATGATAAACCTTTATCTTTGCCTTCAACCTACCTTGGCCTCCTTAGCTGAATTCTTTTCTCTGAGAAGGCAAGAATCAAGTTCCTGTGGATCACTGTGACTCACTGTCAGTAACAATTTCAAAACGTACTTTAAAACTACAGTAATTAAAACAATCTGGTACTGGCACGAAAACATGGATAAACCAGTGGAAAATAATAGAGTCCAGAAATAAATTCATGAATATGTGGTTAACTGTTCTTAGACAAAGTACCTAGAATACATAATGGGGAAAGTATGAACTCTTCATTAAATGGTGCTGACAAAACTGGATATCCACATGCAAAAGAATGGAACCAGACTTTTGTCTTAACTCATAGACAAAATTCAACCCAATTTAGATTAAAGACTTAAAACCTGAAGTATAAAACTCTTAGAAGAAAATATAGAGAAAACCTTTATGATATAGGTCTTAGTAATGATTTCGTGGATATGACACACACAAAAAAGCACAGGGAATGAAAGGAAAAACAGGGTCCAACTACATCAAACTAAAAATAAACAAATTTATTGCCACCAAAGGAAACAATCAACAGACTGAAATGGCAACCTACACAATAAGAAAAAAAAAATTGCAAACCATGTCTGATGAGGTGGTGTATTAGTCCACTTCAGGTGTTGTATCACATTGCTGATAAAGACATACCTGACACTGGGAAGAAAAACAGGTTTAATTGAACTTACAGTTCCACGTGGCTGAGGAGGCTTCAGAGTCATGGCAGGAGGCAAAAGGCAGTTCTTACATGGTAATGGCAAGAGAAAATGAGAGAGATGCAAAAGCAGAAACGCCTGATAAAACCATCAGATCTCGTGAGACTTATTCACTACCACTAGAACAGTGTGGGGAAAACCACCTCCATGATTCAAATTATATCCCGCCAGGTCCCTCCCACAACACACAGGAATTATGGGAGTACAATTAAAAATGAGATTTAGGTGGGGACATAGAACTAAACCATATCATTCCATCCCTGGCCCCTCCAAATCTCATGTCCTCACATTTCAAAACCAATCATACATTCCCAACAATCCCCTAAAGTCTTAAGTCATTTCAGCATTAACTCAAAAGTCCACAGTTCAAAGTCTTATCTGAGACAAGGCAAGTCCCTTCCACCTATGAGCATCTAAAATGCAAACAAGTTAGTTACTTTCTACATACAATGGGGGTACAGGCATTGGATAAATACAACCATTCCAAATGAGGGAAATTGTCCAAAACAAAGGGCTACCAGCCCCAAGCAAGTCCAAAATCCAGCACGGCAGTCAAATCTTAAAGCTCCAAAATGATCTCATTTGATGCCATGTCTCTCATTTGGGTCATGCTGATGCAGGAGGTGAATTCCCATGGTCCTGGGCAGCTCTGCCCCTGTGGCTTTGCAGAGTACAGCCAGCCTCCTGGCTGCTTCCATGGGCTGGCGTTGAGTGTCTGCAGCTTTTCCAGGCACACAGTGCAAGCTGTTGGTGGTGGATCTATCATTCTAGGATCTGGATGACAGTGGCCCTCTTGTCACAGCTCCACTAGGCAGTGCTGCAGTAGGGACTCTGCGTCGGGGCTCCAACTCCACATTTACCTTTTGCACTGCCCTAGCAGAGTTTCTCCATGAGTGCCCCGTCCCTGCAGCGAACTTCTGCCTGGGCATCCAGGCATTTCCATACATCTTTTGAAATCTAGGCGGAGGTTCTCAAACCTCAATTCTTGACTTCTGTGCACTCACGGGCTCAACACCAAGTGGAAGCTGCCAAGGCTTGGGGCTTGCACTCTCTGAAGCCACAGCCCAAGTTCTACTTTGGACCTTTTCAGCCATGGCTAGAGTGGCTGGGATACAGGGCACCAAGTCACTAGGCTGTACACAGCACAGGGAACCTGGGCCTGGCCCCCAATACCATTTTCTCCTAGGCCTCCGGGTCTGTGATGGGAGGAGCTGCTGTGAAGACATCTGACATGCCCTAGAGATATTTTGCCCATTGTCTTGGGGATTAACATTGGGTTCCAGGCTACTTATGCAAATTTCTGCAGCAGGCTTGAATTTCTACTCAGAAAATGGGTTTTTCTTTTCTATCGCATTGTCAGGCTGCAAATTTTCCAAACTTTTGTGCCGTATTTTCCTTTTAAAATGGAATGCTTTTAACAGCATACAGGTCACCTCTTAAATGCTTTGCTGCTTAGAAATTTTTTCCTCCAGATACCCTAACTTATCTCTCTCAAGTTCAAAGTTCCACTAATCTCCAGGGCAGGGGTGAAATGCAGCCAGTCTCTTTGCAAAAACATAACAAGAATCACCTTTGCTCCACTTCCCTAAAATTTCCTCATCTCCATCTAAGACCACCTCAGCCTGGACCTTATTGTTTATATCACTATCAGCATTTTTGTCAAAGCCATTCAGCAATTCTCTGGGAGATTCCAAACTTTCCCACATTTTCCTGTCTTCTTCTGAGCCCTCCAAACCATTTCATCTTCTGCCTATTAACCAGTTTTAAAGTTGCTTCCACATTTTGGGGTATCTTTTCAGCAACACCCCACTCTACTGGTAACAGTTTACTGCATTAGTCTGCTTTCACACTGCTGGATAAAGACATACCCGAGACTGGGAGGAAAAATAGCTTTAATTGAACATAGAGTTCTGGGGAGGCCTCAGAATCATAGCAGGAAGTGAAAGGCACTTCTTACATGGAGGCAGCAAGAGAAAATGAGAAAGATGCAAAAGCGGAAACCCCTGATAAAACTGTCAGATCTCGTGAGACTTATTCGGTACCATGAGAACAGTATGGGGGAAACTGCCCCCATGATTTAAATTATCTCCCACCAGGTCCCTCCCACAACACATGGAAATTATGGGAGTACAATTCAAGATGAGATTTGGGTGGGGACACAGAGTCAAAACATATCAGGTGTTAATATCCAAAATATACAGGAACCTTCTACAACCCAGTAGCAAAATAATAAATAAAAATAATCTGAGTAAAATATGGACAAAAGACATTTTTTTCAAAGAAAATATACAACAAATGGCCAATAGGCATATTAAAAGACACCCAACATCACTAGTTATCAGGAAAATGCAAATAAAATTCAAAATGAGATATAAACTCAAGTTTGTTGGGATAGCCAGTATCAAAATGAAAATGAAGACAAAACCAAACAAACGAAAAGTGTTGGCAAGAATTTTGAGAAAATGGAACTCTTCTACAGTGTTGGGAATGTAAAATGGTGCAGCTGCTATGGAAACAGTATAGAGCTTCCTCAAAAAAATTAAAAATAAAACTAGAATTTGATTGATCAGTCTCACTTTCCAGGCGCTTATTTAAAATAATTGAAATAATTGAAGAGATATTTGTACTCCCATGTTCGTTGCAGCATTATTCAAGCTGTGGAAGCAATATAAATGTCCATCAATTGGTGAATGGAAGAAGAATGTCATATATAGACACAGTGGAGTATATTACTCAGCCTGATAAAATAAGAAAATCCTGTCATATGTGACAACATAGATAAACATAGAGAACATTACTCCAAGTGAAATAAGCCAATCATAGAATTAAAAATATTGCATGATTGCACTTACATAAAGTAATTAAAGTTGTCAAAAATCACAGTAATAGAAAGTAGAATGGTGGTTGCCAGAGACTGGGAGAGGAGGAAAATTAAAAGTTGCTGTTCAATGGATAGAAAGTCTTCATTATACCAGATGAAGGAGTTCTTGAGATCAGCTGTGCAACATTGTCCTTAGAATTAACAAGACTACATTATGTACTTAAAAATTTGATGAGGGAAGGGCTGGGCGCGGTGGCTCGCGCATGTAATCCCAGCATTTTGGGAGGCCAAGGCATGCAGATTACGAGGTTAAGAGATCAAGACCATCCTAGCCAACATGGTGAAACCCTGTCTCTACTAAAAATACAAAATTAGCTAGACGTGGTGCCATGCGCCTGTAGTCTCAGCTACTCAGGAGGCTGAGGCAGGAGAATCACTTGAACCTGGGAGGTGGAAGTTGCAGTGAGCTGAGATCCTGCCACTGTACTCCAGCCTGGTGACAGAGACAGCTCCGACTCAAAATAATAATAAATAAATAAATAAATAAATAAAAAATGATGACGGAAGATCTTACTTTTTTTAACCAAAATAAAATATAGAAAACTGTCTTATTGATAGTAACTATAGTAGTATGAGTAACAGTCCTCTTTTTAAATCTATAATTGGCTTTCCCTAGAGTGACCATCTTGAAAAGGAAACATTTAACCTTGTTTTTTTTAACTGTCAACACTACTTGAGTTATTTGCAAACATATTTGTTGAATCTAATTATGGAATTTAGCTTGGTTTCTACATTACTGAGACTTTGGAGACTTTGTAACAAACTAAAAACAAACTAGCCAATGCCAAATGCTATAAAACCTAAGGAATACAGCAAACACTAAAATTGTATTTATGTAAATGTATATTTGTACTTTGTTTTCTCCAACCCACTTTCCATGTTTAACTTCAAATCCATATAGAGGAAATTGTGTAACTGTTTTACCAAGAACTCTATGTCCTTTTAGGTTCCTGACTTTGTAAGGGTCAACCCCATTAACCTATTAATAAATGAGTTTAAAATTAATTACTTAGTTCTTTAGTGGATGATAAATTGAATTGAAATAGAAATGTACTATTTTCTAGTCTGGGAACAGAGATAATTATAGATAATTAATAAATTATATCTCTGGTCCTAATATATATTCTCAATTCTCCAAGAATCTAATTAAAGTGTTCCTTATGTCTTATCTGTACATTAGAAATAACTGGGAAACTTTTTTAAAAACCCTAAAATACCTATAGGTCAATCCAAATCAGTTAAGTAAAAATCTCTAGAGCATGGGATTTGCTCTGGTATCAAAAGTTTCACAAGTGGTTCCAATGGGCAAAAATAAATGATTCAAGGGCTTGCCACAGTGGTGAAGGTTTTAAGAATCAGCTGATCTGGAGCATGTCAGGACATTCCCTTGTGAAAACTGTCAGAATCAAAACCCAGTCACTTGTGTCAAACCCTGACAAAGGGAGCTAGGGAAGGCCCTCAAGAAAGGGTTCTTATGCATATATGCCTGATAATAAGATCTATCACAAAAGACTGCAAAAACTATTGTCTTGCACAAAGATAGCCACAAATTTATACAAATAATGATTCTGCCAAGGATAATTGTCTCAAAACTATGTAAATTTCCTTAATCTTTACTTGAAAAACGCTTGTCTTCCTTTACTTCCCTAAATATGCCCACCATGTTACCATTGCAATGCTCAATCTCAAATAAATATCATTTTCTTTTAGTGAGCCCCTCTGTCTGTGTGCTGTTTATGTTGACACCGTAAACCATGAGAAAGAGTTTTGCATGTCATACCTCCTGCCACTCAAAAGGAAGCACAAGTGATGAAAGGTTACTCTGGATTTTAGAAGCAGCACTTATGATACTTGAAAAGAGTTCTGTGACCCATTTATCAGGTGGGGTCTGGAAAGCGGGATTTACAACACGTCTAGAATAGAATAAAAGTGGTTTTGCCATATTTGCTATAGGACACCACATATAAATTTTTAAAGATTCCTGTACTAGATAAAAATGCTCTGTGTTTTTCTACAAAGTCCAAACCAGAGATGTGTGTAGAACCTAATGATTCTTGAATGACGCTATGACTTCTACAGCAGAGAACTACATTCCATGTGAAAAACAGTTTCGTAGTATTTTATGATATCTGGTGACTATGAAATCATCCAAGAGATAGAAGTCATCTAATCACAAGACATGAAGTCAGGCTTTGTGTGTTTGGCATCATCCTGAGCTGATCCAGAAGGCATATATAAATTGTATGAATAAATGGTCTAGATTCTCCCATCACCTCTACCTGTTACATTGGTACTGTTTTATTAACTCAGGTCTATGGCCCCACAGGTGATTTTCTATGACAACCTGGAAAAGAAAATAAAGTGAGCATAACTTATAAATGAAACCCATTCAGTAGTCCATAGACAGATTTTTTGGAGGTGGGGGGAATATAGAAATTGACCCTTCTTGTCTTAAAACATAAAACTTACATTTGTATAATCTGAGTTCCTTCCTCAGGAAATAATCCTTGGGCCTCTCACAAAGCAGAAACAAACTGAGACTCACCAAATCACCGCATCCAGACAATGAGATTCCAGACCTCATGATTCCTTGCTCCTCTCAAATTTCTGTTTTCCTACCTGACTGTCTGCTTCTTGTTGACCAAATCCTCTTCATTACCGCACACTAAATCCTGTTTTCCCACACATAGTTACATTTATTCCCTGCTATATAAAATGCCAGTTTTAGTTGGTGAAGGAGATGGATTTGAGTTTGATCTCCTGTCTCCTTGGCTGCAGTGTCCACTTAAAGCCTTCTTCCTTGGCAGTACTTGTTATCTCAATGATTGGCTTTCTGTGTGGCAAACAGCAGGATCTGGACAATACCTATGGTATTTCGGTAGTAGATTTTGGTTTCCTGACTGGGAACACACTGCTTGTGGCTCAGATGCAGGTCGTCAGGAGTTTCAGAAGACTTCCTAAGCAGCTATCTGACCCTTTTTTGGTCAGAGGTTGGCTTTAGTCTTTCTCTACTTGATCTTGCTGCTGCTGGTCCCAGCTGTATTCCTAATTCCCTAGAAGAACAGCCTTTGAAATCTGACATCTGTGTCTGTACAGGTGAGTGTCTTTTGAGGGTGCCAGACAATGTGTTATGTTCTGCCCAATTTGGGCAATTCCAAAGGAATTTCCATCTGCAGGTTGAACATGTGCTGTACCCTGCAAAGCCACGGTGGCAGAGCTGCCCAAGGCCATGGGAATTCACCTCTTGCATCAGCATAACCTGGATGTCAGACATGGAGTCAAACGAGATCATTTTATAGCTTTAAGATTTGAGTGCCCCACTGGATTTCATACTTGTATGGGGCCTGTAGCCCCTTCATTTTGGCCAATTTCTCCCATTTGGAGTGGGTGTATTTACCCAACGCTTGTAGCCCCAGTGTATGTGGGCTACACAGTTATATTGGTACTGTTTTATTAACTCAGGTCTATGGCCCCTAACTTGCTTTTGATTTTACAGGCTTGTAGGTTAGTTGCCCCTATGGCAACTAACTTGCTTTTGATTTTACAGGCTTGTAGGTGGAAAGGGACTTGCCTTGTTTCAGGTGAAACTTTGGACTTGGACTTTTGGGTTAATGGTGGACTGAGCTAAGACTTTGGGGGACTGTCGGAAAGTCATGATTGTGTTTTGAAATGTGGAGACATGAGATTTGGGAGGAGCCAGGGGAGGAATGATATGGTTTGGCTGTGTCCCCACCCAAATCTCATCTTGAATTACCGTTTCCATAAACCCCATGTGTCTTGGTAGCGATTTGGTGGGAGGTAATTGAATCACGGGAGTGATGGTTTTATAAGGGGCTTACCCCTTCACTCAGTTCCCATTCTTCTCCTTTCTGCCACCATATGAAAAAGGATGTGTTTCCTTCCCCTTCTGCCATGATTACAAGTTTCCTGAGGCCTCCCAGCCATGCTAAACTGTGAGTCAATTAAACCTCTTTCCTTTATAAGTTACCACTCTTGCATATGCCTTTATTAGCAGCATGAGAAGGGACTAATACAAGCCCAAATGACTGAGAAAGGGATAAAGCACCCAGACTATTTCAGGTTTGACATTCTTGGGGCCTGTTAGTTACCACTACAGTACTTAGATTGTATTTGATTAGTTACAATGTATTTTAATAATGTATTTGAGTAGTTAGAATGTATTTTGATAATACGTTCCAATTACTCAAATACAATCTACTGCAGAGGGGGAGAGAGAGAGAGAGAGAGAGAGAGAGAAAGTTAACATAGTCATGGAAAATCAGAATTCCATTCCATAATTTGGCCTCCTTGCATGTGAATTCTCCAAAATTGGCCTGAATATAGTTATGAGCCAATGGAACAAAGGAAAATGACAATCTTTTGTAATACTGTTTGGCACCAATATTCTTTAGAAGCTGAAAAAATTTGGCCACTCTCTTGGCCTTTACAATATAACACTATCTTACAACTACAATAGATTCATTTTGCTATCAAATGGAAATGTGGAATGAAATTCCTTAAGTCCAATCTTTTATGCTCCTTTATCAGAGCAAACCTGATCAAGCTAAGTGTAAAATTTGGATGCAATGGATGAAGGCATTTAAGAAGGGTGGTGAGTCTGTGCTTTTCACTAAGATTCCCATATTACCAGCTTAAGATAACAGTCCCTTAGTTTAGGAAGCCTGGGCTACTATATAACTTCTGAAACCCCAGTCCTGCCACTTCAGCACTCTCTGCCAGCTGTCCTGAGGTTGGCTTCAGCTTCTCCAGTAGCTCCAACCTCTGAGACTCCCGTACCTCTGAAAAACCTATTTCTGATTCTTGCTAGTCTTCTCCTTTATGAACCTGGGGCTCCTACCCTAGTTCTGTTGGGTCCTTCCTCTATTCCCATTCTCTCCTTTCACCAAAAAGACATCCAAGAACTCTAAAGAAATGGTCTCGCCCTCTTGTAACCATCAGGGACACAATTTGACTGAGGTCTACTAACCCCCTATGCAGGGAAATTTCCTCTAAGGTAGGTGCATATTGGGGGTATAATTGAATAAGGACAGTCTGCTGGAACGATGTGAGTATATAGCCCATTCATCACCTCTGACTTACATAATTGGAAGCAGAATGATCCAGCTTCTAAGGATGACCCAAAACATGAAACTGATCATTTTGAGTCTACATTCACTACTCATCACACTATATGGGCCAATGTTCACAGCCTCCTTAACATCTTGTTGATATATGATGAGTGTTATGTAGTGCTAGAAAATACTTAGGAGGAGGCTGACCATTTACATGCAGAAGATCCGAATAAACAGGTGAGGACTGATTCCAATATGGTAGTGCCCTTCCACAATCCAAACTGGAATCTGAACAATGAGAATGAAGGTAAAATCCAAAATTTTTTTAGCATAAGCAAGGTGCAGAAAATTAGACAAGGAATGAATGAGAACACATCAGCATTTTGGAAAGAATTTTGGAGGCTTATCAAAAATACATGGGTATAGATCCATATTGTCCTGAGAATTACAAGCTAATTAATATGACTTTTTTTGGGCAGACTATGCCTGATATTCAACTTAATTGCAAAAATTAAAGGGCATCGGAACATTGCCAATATCTCAATTAATTGAGGTGGCATACAAGGTCTTTCTGGATTAAAAGCAGACTAAGGAACAACAAAATGAAAATTGCAGATGAAACCACAGGCTAAGTTCCTTGGAGCAGCCTTAGCTGAGTCTAGAAGGGCCTTCTCAGAAAGGGCAAAGGAAGAAAATCTTAGAAAGACCCCTCTTAGGGAAAGAAAACAAAAATGTGTGTACTGCACAAAAGGGAGACACTGGAAAAAAGATTGTCCTAAACTGAATAGAAGGGGTGGCCAATGCAAGTAGCTGGGTTCAATGACTATACCTGGAATGCCATGAGCTTAAACCTCCTTCAACAACTCAGACATTCCAATCCATGATCAATTTCACTCACCAAGAGCCTAGGGTAGCTGTTAAAGTGGGTGATAAGTTGATTGATTTTTTTATTGACACCACAGCAACTTACTCAGTTTTAACTATTAAATTGACTAAACTTGGAAGGGAATTTATGACAGTCACTGGAGTGTCTAGCGAATCCTCTCAAAAATATTTTTTTCAGCTTCTATAATATACAATAGAAAATTAGGCTGGACCCAGTAGCTCATGCCTGTAATCCTAGCACTTTGGGAAGCCAAGGCGGGTGTATCACAAGGTCAGGAGTTCAAGACCAACCTGGCCAGCATGGTGAAATCCTGTCTCTTCTAAAAACACAAAAAAGTAGCCGGGCATGGTAGCAATGGTAGCATGTGCCTGTAATCCTAGCTACTCTGGAGGCTGAGGCAGGAGAACTACTTGAACCCAGGAGGCGGAGGTTGCAGTGAGCCGAGATTGCACCACAGCACTCCAGCCTGGGTGACAAAGCGAGACTCCATCTCAAAAAAAAAAAAAAAAAGAGAAAAGAAAAAATTCTTCTTTTTGACCCACAGTTGTGTCTATATGCCAGAATGTATACTCCCATTACTAGGACAAAGTCTTCCTTCCAAGTTACAGGCCCAGGTGACTTTCTTAAATAAACAAGTGTATGTTGAAGTCCCTCCAGAACATTCATGTTCTTTGCAAGCGGACTTAATCGCACTTTTGACTATTCCTCAGGTCCTCCCCTCTGAAGTCCTTGAGAAGGTAAACCATAAAGCCTGGGCCACTGGGTGTCCTGAATGGGCCCATGTGGTACCAATCCATGTTTAGTTAAAATTGGGTGTTACCCCCCAACACCATACACACACTCTGCTCCAGATTAAACAGTATCCACTAAAGCTCCAGGATCAAAGGGGGCTCCAACCTTTGATCACAGCTTTCTTAGAATATGGGCTCCTTTTATGCTGTCATTCCCCTTAGAATACTCCTGTCTTGCCAGTTCAGAAGCCTGACACCCAAGGATATTGTTTTCTCTAAGCTCTAAGGGCAATAAATCAAATCATAGAAGACATTTATCCCATGATACCCAACCCTTACACTCTTCTTAACATCCTGTTGTGGAATTTTGCCTAGTTCTCAGTAATATACTTAAAGGATGCTTTCTTCTGCATCTCCTTGGCCCCTGAGTTCCAAGAACTGTGTGTTTAATGAGTGGGAAAAATTGGACTCTAACACTAAATGTCAGTATTGTCAGACCATGCTTCCCTAGGGAATTAAAAACTCTCCCACCCTTTTTGGACAAATCTTAGCCAAAGACTAGAGGGAAATAACCCTCAATAAAGAAACTATTTTGCAATATGTAGATAATATTTTGATAGCCAGTGAAACAGAGGGTGATTCCATTATCCATGCCATCAAAGTTTGAAATTCCCTCACAGGGAAATGGCACTAAGTTTCCAGAAAGAAGGCACAGGTCTCTCTTCCCACACTTCAGTAACTGGAATTCTAAATATCCCAGGATACTCACAATCTTCTCCCAGATTCAAGAGAGGCAATAAATCAGGTGGCAGTCCCGACTCTCCACAAACAACTGTGACTTTTTAAGGATTGCTAGTTTTGTTGAATTTGAATCCCTAACTTTGGGTTAATATCAAAAACTCTCTATGAGGCTTTAAAAGGAGTAGATAAGAAGCCCCCTTCTTGGAGTGGGGAGTGTCAAAAAGAATTTTAATCACGAAAGAGAAATTGATGACAGCCCCTCCTCTGTATCTCCCTAACCTATGCAAAGCTTTTGATTTATTTGTTCCAGAAAGACAGGGAATTAGACTTGGAGTACAAACTCAAGGTCTTGGAACCTTGAAATGTCCTGTGGCCTACTTTTTAAAAGAGCTTGATATGGTAACTAACGGCTAGCCTACCTGCCTCAGGGTGGTGGCTGCCAACTGTGATCTATTACAGTAAACTGAAAAGTTCTTCTTGGGGCAGTAAATGACAGTGCACACTGTGTGTTATGTGTTACCTCTACTCAAGCAAAAACGGGGCTATTGGTTGACAGCAGGCTGACTGGGAGAGTACCTAGCTATGCTTCTAGATAACCCAATTGTAACTTTTAAGGCTAGTTCTTTATATGAATCCTGCCCCACTGCTACCAGGGAAACTCCAGCCTTCTGTTCATTACTGGATTTATATAATTGATCGAGTTTACTCCAGCAGACCAGGCCTCACAGATTTGCCATTGATGGAACCTGACAAATTCTTCATTGATAGAAGCAGTTTCATCAAACAAGGAGTCAGAAAGGCTGGGTATGCTGTAGTTATTAATGAGCAGGTAATTGAGGTGCAAGCCCTGCCCTCTGGGACATTTTCGAAAGGCTGAGCTCATTGATCTAACTAGAGCTGTTCATCTGGGTAAGGGAAAGCAAATAAAGGTTTACACTGACTCTAAATATGCCCAGGCTCATGGGGCAATTTGGAAGCAATGGGGCCTCCTTACTTCAAATAACAAAGAAATAAAGCAGGATTCTCAAATTCATGAATCATTAGGTGCAGTAAAAATGCCAAAGGAAATAGTAATTGTTCACTGCCAAGGACACCAGAGGGCAGGCACCAATGTTGCATAAGGAAATACTAAGGCTGACCTAGAGGTGAAAAAGATTGCCAAGGGGCCCACTACCTAGCTGGCTCTTGTTCCTACACTTTGTTGAAAAACTAGCATCCCAAATATTTGGAGGTTGATCTTAAAAGAGCTGAGGAATGGGGGTTTTCTAAACATGCCAGACATAAATACCTTACAAATAACGAAGGAAAAATTATCCTTCCACAAGCTTTGATTAGACCAATCCTTGAGCAAATTTGTCAAAGCACCCATTATGGACAGGAGGCAACTCTATGCTGGACACGGCCTTATCCTGTTGGGCCTCATTTGCAACAAACAATACAAACTGTAGTTCAACGTTGTTCTACTTGCCTGAAAAATAATCCAAAGCCTCCAGAAGGCATAAAAGCCACCTTTAGGCAAGAAACTCAGTGGAAAGGAACATATCCTAGAGAAGACTGGCAATTGGATTTTACTATAATGCCTCAGAACCCTGGAAAATTTTGCTATTTGTTGGTTTTTGTTGATAAATTTACAGGTTTGGTTGAGGCTTACCCTACAAAGACTGACAAACCTACAAAAGTTATGAACGTTCTAATGAAGGAAATAATTACTACTATGTGCACATGTGTGTACAAGTATCATACAAAATATGAACTAAAAGAGGAATCAGATGGTTGAGGCTTAAACACCTTCTTCATAAGGGAGGGGAAAATGGGATGAATGAATAAGCCCAGTGCTGAGACAATGGTTCCAAGGAACAGTGGTCATCTTGCTATGAAGATAGAGTTTCTTAGGTACTCTCTTGGATCTACCCTCAAAGAATGCAAGAATATTTTACCTGAGTGCTGTGGTGACTACTAGTCTCTTCTCTTCTCTGGTAGTTGATCTTTTCCAATTATTTGATGAGTTCCCTAGAGAGAAGGTCCCAAGATAATTGCATTTTTTTCCCCAAAATAAGCTTTCTTAGATAAAGAAATCCCAGAGAATCCCTCCCTCCACTTGGGGCTGGGATCGAGGAATGAGGCCAAGCAAAGGACAAAGGGTCCTCGATTCTGAGGCAGCTTCAAAGGCCTCTCAACATGTCAAACTACCAGTCCTTGGGGTATCATTTTCTGAGCTCCAACATTATCTTGTATGAAATTTCCCTAGAAGTCTCATACACGAAAAGCTGAGTTAGCTGTAGAGAGAAAAATTAGTAGCTGAGTAGCAAAGAATCTCATTAACACAGTCTCCCATTTCTGGAAATATGTCTGTCCAATTATACAGTTATGTCTCATTTCAGGAGATGGTGCTGAAGACTGGCTGTCAAAGTTAGGCCTCTATATATGATGCAAGTGAACAAATCTTTAATAAGGAATATTTCTTATTAGAGTGGATTCTTATGACTTATGCAAAAAATAATGGCTAATCTCTGGAGTTTCTGTAGAGTCTCTGGAGAACAGTCAGTTGAAATTACAAACGGCAATTTTACAGATTTTTTTTTGCTTTGCGCTTTGCATGTACAAAGTTTTTCCAAATATAGGCTCTTGTGGTGATGTTTCTTCAAAGCCAAGTTGACTGATTCAGTTTGTAGGGTCTTAGGAAAAAGGCATTTTCAATTTCAGTGAGTCTAAGTCAGAATAATGGAAGAAAAAATTGGAAACATTGGTTTTGAGACTTGCAATCAGGAAGGAATTCAGAATTCAGTCTAAATTATAGGCAAATAACAAAAATTTACAATGAACAGTGCTAGGATCTAACAACAGGTGTACTAAGTTTTTCTTCTGAAACATTATTTACTCTCCTAGCCCCACCATGTTTACCAAAGATAATCATAGTACTTCCAATTTACTTGTAAAATAAATTGTCTTATTAATGTGACCTAATAATTTCCATAACGTGCAGTAAGAATAGTGAGTTATCACATAGGTTCTTTTTTCTATTGGCGTTGCTGAAAACCTTTCATAAAGAATCTGATATTAGATTCTCAAAAAGCCTTTGGAAACGTAGGAGCCAAGCCAAGGATATGACTTTCCCTCAGACTATATCTGTAATACCTGTACGAATTGGGTGAATTTATCAGTTTTTGAGGTCTCCAAAATATCTTGGCATTACTGGGCCTGTCAGAAACTGATGTTCTTTACTTACCTCAAGGACAGCAACTTTGAAAGGAAATGGACAAGATACCAGGTCAGTCTTTTTCAAAGTCTATTGGCCTTTTGTATTATTATTATTATTATTATTATTATTATTATTATTATTATTATTATTTTTGAGAGGGAGTCCCACTCTGTTGCTTAGGCTGGCGTGCAGTGGTGCCGTCTTGGCTCACTGGTTCAAGCGCTTCTCCTCCCTCAGCCCCCCGCCTCAGCCTCCCAAAATGCTGGGCTTACAGGTGTGATTTAGGGCGCCTGTCCCCAATCTCAATTTT
Organism: Homo sapiens; assembly: GCF_000001405.40. NCBI lineage: Eukaryota > Metazoa > Chordata > Mammalia > Primates > Hominidae > Homo > Homo sapiens. Next base: position 89,663,388 of record NC_000013.11, read on the forward strand.
ATTTAGCAAAAATTGCTAAAGTCATGTAAACTTTAAAAGAATCTGGATTTATTAATTTATGAGAGTTCATTTATTTTTAAGTTGATTTGATGATATGTAGACAGTACACATACATAAAAATATGGACAAACATAAATATTTTGTAGCTTTGATCTTACAATTTTTCCGTAAGGCAGATAAAACTCACTAGTTTAAAAGCACAGTTAGATAAAAATGGTGCCACTGTAAATGCAACAAATTAAACTTTATCTGTCCCACGTGGCTAAGCCCTCATTAAGTTTTAGAGAAAAAAAATATAGCATATTTACATCTCAAAGCCCAGAGAGAAAATTAAAGCTTTCTCAAGCAATTAGGTGTGTCAATTAGACATAAAACAAAGAAAGGTTAAAAATGAACACCAAAGAAACAAACATAGGAATTCACCACATAATTTTATAAGGAGACCAATTTTGGTCTAATATTAATAGATAGCTTGCAATTTTGTCTGCCTTTTCCAACTGGACCACTGAGGTCAGGGTGGAGCCTGCTATCTAATAGGACCAACAAAGCATTTGCAGCTTCTTGGGGCCAATACTGACACATTTAAAAGGCAGACACAGCCAGAAGCCACAGCACTTCGATCTCCCGAAATCTAAGATCCCATTCCTACACTGAATCCCAGGTACCTTAGATCCATGGCAAAAGGCAGAGAGGGAAACACCATGGGGCTGAGCTGTTTAATACTCTTAGAGTGCACCTCTGCAAGGACATTCCCTGAGGCTAGTGGATGACCCAGCACCAACTGGCCCACTCTATGATTAGCTCATACCCCACAGAAGTTGTATCCCTCAGTAGTGAGTGCTCTCAGTCTCCACGTGTCCAAACTACACTCATCATCATATCGTGGCCGGAGCTCCCAGATCCTCACAGACAAACCTAGCCAACAATTTTACTTATTCCAAATTGCCATTTACCATCAGTTTCTGTTTGACTTGGTCAGAAATCAGAATATTTTCTTATCTAAACTTGCAAATAAATGAGGAGGATAGAAAGCCAGTATTTGTTTCCTGCAGTAATAGCCAGTCATTGCAGCAACTATGAATTCCCTTTAACATCACACCTTTGCCAATAGCCCATTAGTTAGTACATACACAAAGGTCAATTGCTTTCGTACAGTTTAAAATAATTCTTGGTACTCCCCTAAAGCTGGAGAGATTGGGGCATTTATTGTAAAAGAAAGCAGAGCTTCAGACCTAAGTAGAACCCACCCATGACTTCTGAGGTTCCATGAGCAAGACAGATGATCCCAAAGTGGGGGTGAGAGGTGAAGCCAGCTGGACTTCCTGGGTCGACTGGGGACTTGGAGAACTTTTCTGTCTAGCTAGAGGATTGTAAATGCACCAATCAGCACTCTGTAAAAACGCACCAATCGACACTGTGTCTAGCTAAAGGTCTGTAAATACACCAATCAGCACTCTGTAAAAACTCAGCAATCAGCGCTCTGTGTCTAGCTAAAGGTTTCAAAATGCACCAATCAGCACTCTGTAAAAATGCACCAATCAACGCTCTGTAAAATGGACCAATCAGCACTCTGTAAAATGGACCAATCTGCAGGATGTGGGCCAGCCAAATAAGGGAATAAAAGCTGGCCATCAGAGCCAGCAGGGGCAACCTGTTCGGGTCCCCTTCCACACTGTGAAAGCTTTAGTCTTTCACTCTTCACAATAAATCTTGCTGCTGCTCACTCTTTGGGTCCACACTGCCTTTATAAGCTGTAACACTCACCGGAGGGTCTGCAGCTTCACTCCTGAAGTCAACAAGACCACAGACCCACTGGGAGGAACAAACAACTCCGGACGTGCCACCTTTAAGAGCTCTAACACTCACTGTGAAGTTCTGTGGCTTCACTTCTGAAGTCAGTGAGACCACGAACCCACTGGAAGGAAGAAACTTCGGACACATCTGAACATCTGTAGGAACAAACTCCGGACACACCATCGTTGAGAACTATAACACTCACTGCGAGTGTCTGCGCCTTCATTCTTAAAGTCAGCGAGACTAAGAACCCACTGGAAGGAACTAATTCCAGACACAGGGGTGTCTGGTGCCTTGGCTGTGCGGTTCAACCGGTCTCAGTGGCTAGAAGTCTCTCTCTTAGTTCTCTTTATGTGACAGCCAGAACTCTGATGCTTTCTTTTAGTGATTTTTTGTCCACTGACTGCCAAATGGAAGAGGTATGGACTTGAAGGGGAATATATCAATGATTAAGAGAACTGGATAAAGATCGAAAATGAAAAAAGAGAGAGAAGAAGTAAATGGAAGAAAGGACTTCCTAGAGGAGCCAGTTTGGGAAGACCGTAAGCTTCCCAAAAAGGTCAATGAAGTTTGACATTTTTCTCAGCAAAATATCATGCTAATAAGAAGCATACCCTCGGAGAACAGAACATATAATTTTTAATAAAGGGTTTCTGTCACCTGAAAAAAATCCCATGGGGGAAATAGGATTCAAAAGAGAAAAAGCACAAAGACATTTTATATTTTTATATATATATATATATATATATATATATATATATATATATATATATATGTATATTTGAGATCTAAAGTAGCTTTTAATTTAGCCAACTATTGACCACAGAGCTCATTAAAAAAATCTTTTAAAAATCTCTTTTCATCAGATTACAGCTAGGACAAAGAAAAAATATTATTCCTGATGTTTTGGCTTTTTTTGTTGTTCTAAAAAAACAAACAAAGAAATCTACCAAATGAGTCTTTTGCGACTTAACCAAGGAAGCACAAGCCATCTCCAAACAGAGACAAAGAAGCAGTCCTCACAAGGTGCAGAGCCACTCCCAAAGACAAGGAAGAAAAAAAAAGAGAAAAAGGAACACTTATCCACTGCAATTAGAATGTAAATTAGTTCAGCCATTGTGGAAGACAGTGTAGCAATTCCTCAAAGACCTAAAGACAGAAATACCATTTGACCAGCAATCCCATTACTGGGGATATACCCAAAGGAATACAAATCATTCTATTGCAAAGACACATGCATGTGTATATTCATTGAAGTACTACTCACAATAGCAAAGACATAGAATCAACCTAAATGACCATCAACAATAGATTGGATAAAGAAAATGTGGTACATATACACTGTAGAATACCATGCAGCCATGAAAAAGAATGAGATCATGTTTTTTGCAGGAACATGGATGGAGCTAAGGCCACTATCCTTAGCAAACTGAAAGAGGAACAGAAAAACCAAATACTACATGTCCTTACTTATGAGTGGGAGCTAAAGGATGAGAACACATGGACACATACAAAGGAACAACACACAGTGGGGCTTTTCAGAGGGTGGAGGCTGGAAGGAGGGAATCAGGAAAAATAACTAAATGGGTACTAGGCTTAATACTCGAGTGAAGAAATAATCAGTACAAGAAACTCCCGTGACACAAGTTTACTTATGTAACAAACCTGCATTTTTACCCCAAACTTAAAATAAAAGTTAAAAAAGAGAAATATTTAGACAATGTTTTTAGAGCTGGCAAGTTGATATGTTAGTTTTATATGTGGGCCTCAACCTCTTTCAGTTGACCATCTGCATGACCCAACAACCTGCATGACCCCGACAGGCAGCAGGCCAAGCTAAGATCTCAGGACACAAAACAAGACAGACAGGAAAGAAATAACTGCCCATGAAAAGGAGAAAGATAATTATAAATAGGTCTTCCAAACCAAACTTACACAAGAGTCACAACCTAAACAAATGATTTTCTCCTGCCAACCTGAATTTAGGGAGAAAGGGATAAAGAGAAATGTTTACCTTCCATTCTCCATCAGGTACTCCAGGTAGAGATCCAGGAGAGCTAAACTTGGTAAAAATTCTTATCTTTCTTTGTCAGCTTTTTGTCAGTTGTCCTAGGTCCTCAATTGTAGGCTTGGAAGCAAGTCAGGTGTCTCAGTCGTCCTACCTTTGTTTCTAGAACTATGGGGGCTGAGAGGGTGTGATCCCTTCTCTCCCCATTGTAAAAGTTTACAGCCTACACCCCTATAACAAAAAAGAGATTAACCAGGGAAAAACATAACAAAGTTATCACTATTACATGCACATGTGTCCATAAGTATCATTCAAAATATGAACTCAAAGATGGACCAGGTGATTAAAGCTCAAATGCTTTCTTCACAAGAGCCAGAAAAATAAAGGAATAAATGGGTCCAATGCTCAGGCAATGGTTCACAGGAACAATGGTTGTCCTATTAAGAAGATAATGTTTCTGAGGTTACTTTTTGGAATTGTTCTTGGATGAGAATTCTGTCTGAGTGTGATGATGATTCCTAGTCTCTTCTCTTCTCTAGTCATTGATGTTTCCTTGTTATTTCACAAGATCCCTAGGGAGGATGTCCTAGCACCATCTCATTGCTTGGGAAAGACGAGAACAAGACAAGGATAGAGGGACCTTTATTCTGAGGCAGCTTATAAGGCCTCTCAGTATGTTAAATTTCCTTTGGGAAATTTGGGGCATCACTTGCTGAGCCCCCAAAGCTATAAATGTTGGGAGGCCGAGGCGGGTGGATCACAAAGTCAGGAGTTCAAGACCAGCCTGGCCAACATGGCAAAACCCCGTCTCTACTAAAAATACAAAAAATTAGGTGGGTGTGGTGGCAGGTGCCTGTAATCCCAGCTACTCAGGAGTCTGAGGCAGGAGATTCCCTTGAACGTGGGAGGTGGAGGTGCAGTGATCCGAGATCGCGCCACTGCACTCCAGCTTGGATGACGAGAGCAAAACTCCATCTCAAAAAAAAAAAAAAAAACAAAGAGAAACTATAAATGATTTTTTAATAAGATCTATTTCCAGCATCCCAGTTTCTAAATGAATATTCTAGCCTGTGCTGAAGTAAGCCAAAAAATAAAAGATATAAGAGGATCTTCCAGATTTACTAGGTTAAATTTTTAGAAAAGGTATAAGAAGAAAAAACAAACAAAATTAGCATTAACTTCTAATGATGTAATTTTGTTCATAGAAAATCCAAAGTAAAATCTAAAACTGAATTACTAGAATAATAATAGAATAATAAGAAATAATCGTTTTTTGGATATGTGATATTAAAAATAATTCATTTCCTTGGTTTTTGCAAAAAGTGACTAGAAAACATGGTAAAAAAGACACATATTTGCAACAATAGCATAAATATGTATATTTACAATGTATGTAAGAAATATATGGAGAAAATTTAGTTTTTCTGAATAACATTTCTAAAATGTATATATGAATAAGTACTGTCTTTGTGAAATGTCTGTTAATTTTTCCCACATTTATCCAAGTGGCTTTCCTTTAATGTGTACATGTCATGAAAGTTACACATATCATTTCTAATTAAATTTTATTGGCCTCAAATTAGCCACAAGACCAAATTTCCATTAAAAAAAAGGAAAAATGATTTGGGGAGTACATCTATCAGGCTACAAGAAGATTTTGATGTAGACTTCAGGATTATAATTATGAGAATTTTATCTTTGGTTAAAAATACTTTGACTGCAGTGGGGTGTGGTGGCTCACACTTGTAATCCCAGCAAAAACTTCAAGCCTCATAAAGCTGAGATCTGCCTTGATCTTAGCCCACAAGAAGGCACAATCAAGTCATTCAACTCCTTTTTAATCAAGGTTCTCTGAACAAACTAAGAAAACTAGAAACTCTGACATTTCTGTGCTTCCCCCTCTCAATATTTTTTATTACTGTCATATTCGAAAATCCTAAAAAAGTCCCATCCGTAACATATGATTGGAATTGAAGTTATAAAACCTCAAGCTCAAATTTACTTTTATTTTATTTTATTTATTTGTTTATTTTGAGACAGAGTCCCACTTTGTCACCCAGTCTGGAGTGCAGTGGCATGATCTCTGCTCACTGCAACCTCTGCCTCCTGGTTCAAGTGATTCTCCTGCCTTAGCCTCCCAAGGAGCTCGGTCCGCGGGCATGCACCACCACACTGGGCCAATTTTTGTATTCTTAGTCGAGATGGGGTTTCACCATGTTGCTTGGGCTGGTTTCGAACTCCTGACCTCAAGTGATCTACCTGCCTCAGCCTCTCAAAGTGCTGGTATTACAGGCACGAGCCACCACACCAAACTGAAAATTACTTTTAGCAAGTTGTATAAAACTTATTTATTGATTTAAACAAGGAGAAAAAGTCTCCATGTATTTTAATTATATTTGTTTTTGGGAAAATGAATATAAATTAAATTAACATTTTTGTTTTTCTGTTAAACTTTATAGTCCAAATTACATACTTGATGAGATAAACCAATGTATAATTTTTTTTTTTTTTTTTTTTTTTTTTTTTTGAGATGGGGTCTTGCTCTGTCACCCAGGCTGGAGTGCAGAGACATGATCTTGGCTCACTGCAGCCTCTGCCTCCCGGGTTCAAGCAATTCTCCTGCCTCCACCCCCTGAATAGCTGGAACTACAGGTGCCTGCCACCACCCCTGGCTTATTTTTGTATTTTTTGGTAGAGACGGGGTTTCACCATGTTGCCCAGGCTGGTCTCAAACTCCTAAGTTCAGGCAATCTGCCTGCCTCAGCCTCCCACAGTGCTGGGATTACAGGCGCGAGCCACCACGCCCTGCCAAGATTTTAAAGACAATATATTTATTATTTTTCTTCTATGTAATACTAACTTTACTAACAATTGTCAATCATATCTTTATTTGTGCCAATTACTTTCAGAGGACACAGAGTTCTAGTAAGATTATTTTCCTTCATTGAAATAAAGGGCGTACCATTTTGCCCTTAATTAAGTGCCACTTGCATGGCAACATTAATAAGCTCCAATTATATAAATTCAGGGGAGTTTCCATGTTAAGGAAAGGAAGCTGGAGAGTAAAGTGATGATATATTAAATGTTTACTTTTCATTGAACTTTGTGTCATTTATCATTTGTGGAAAGAAAAATGCCATGGTGTGTGTAAATCAATAAAAAGTATTTTCATCTCTAATAGAACGCTGAGTACTCCATTAAATACACATTAGAAATATAAGTCAAAACACAGTTTGCCATTTAGGATAAAAGTAGTCCATCAGGCCAATGAGGAAAGAAGTTTTAATACTTTTATTACCATTGTCTAGCAAAATGCTGGTTTTAGAATTTGACTCAATATCTATAGAAAATAAGAATATTACCATGTCATGTTATAATTTTATGTTATTATTTTCTTACCTCTTATTCAAATAAGATAACAGTTAAATCATGACTAGGTGCCTAGCTGTGTCATGTGTTTAAAACTTATGTTTAAATTTTTATGCTAATCTCCCTTTTTTTATTGATTTACACTACTTTTTTTCGGTTATACTATAGTTACTGACAATGTTGAAATTTACATGAACTCTGTAATTCTGGAAAACAGCTATGGATAAAGAATCGCACCACCATTCTTTCATGTTCTGGAAAATGACTCCTTGCAGAGTCACCCTTCCTGGTAAGACTTAAGTAAGGTTCACAGATGACCCCTTTGTTTACCTATGACAAGGCCAGACACGGAGCCTCCAAAATCTCATTCTTTGCCTCAGATTATTAACTAAATTGTTTTGTTCTTACTGACCAATTAGAACAAAGTGTCTGTTAACCAAACTTTGTTAAAAGATTTTTTCTTTCCCCAAGACTGCTGAACATTCATCTACTCTCAGCCTGAGCCAGCATAGGACCCCTCTGAAAGGGCCACTCCTGGAGAATAGACGGGCTTGAGCACAAAACATTTGCTAATGTACTCTCCAGTCATGGCACCCTTTCAATTCACCTCCCCATGCATGTTTCTTTTACCCTTGGTTACTCCTCTCTACAAAAGAAAAACCCTTTTGCCTAACTCTTGAGCAACATGCAGATCTTCTATTCAGAGCATTCTTTATATTGCAGTAGCCTTTTCAAATAAAGTCTCTCTTGACCCAAGTCTAGATTTGTTTTTAATTCAACATTATATAACATATTTACATCACGGAAAGTTCTGCGAAGGGTATATCTGAACTCTCTGCACTATTTTTGCATCTGTCTTGTAAATCTCTTGAAAATAAAAAGCTGAAGAAACAAAAGGATATTTCTCAGTTTATACATTCTAGGCCTCTTGAAAATTATTTATAAAATTAATAAATTGATTACTACAGAGAAAAAAAAAGACCAGAAAGTCATACAGTTTAAATATGACATTTAATACTTAGTATCTACCTAAAGGCTATAACCTCAGGAGTGGGGATACTTTGTTTCTGGGTGAAGACTTCACCTTGATTCTTGACACAGTTCTCTTTTACATAGGACAGCATCCCAAGATCTATCCCAAACCATTTTCAGAAATAGCTTTTATATTGGAAGATTTAGAGGGTCTTGTACTTATAAATAATAACATTTCAAAAAGCTATTTTAAAAGAAAACCTGATTATATGTGAAAAAAGACAAAACATTTTTAGATGTGTAAAGGGGCTATGTTAGCTCAAAAGAATCTAATGCTAAGGATGTGTGTGTGTGTGTATATATATATATTTGTGATTGAGTATATGACAGGCCATTAAATTTTGAAGGAGCAAATTTTTTCTTGCTATTCTTTCTCAATACTGATGGAAACTCTCTTCTTGACCAAATTCTACTCAGGCTCCGGGAAACTCTCTTCTGTACTGGGCTTTGACTTTTGAGTTTCCAGATTTATCTTTGTATTGTTTAGCTTCAGCAAGTGTCCTGCTGAGTTATTTTACCCCAAATCATTACCTATTCTTGATATCTGATCACCCTCAATGTAGATCATGTTCTTCATCCTCCATTTTTCCCCAGATGAGGTCTGATCACCCTGGCTTTCCTTCTGCAAAATTCCTTGGAGGTTAATTTAGCTAGAATCCTCCCTTATTCCAGTTGTCTCCTCTTAGTAACTTTCCATCCACCCCACTCCCACTCTGTTCCTTGGCTATACATTTCCACTTGTTCATGCTGTATTCACAGTTGAGCCAATTCTCTCTCCCCTACTGTGAAACCCCATTGTAGGACCCCCCTTGTCTTACGTTTCTTTAACAAGTGTCATAAATATATATTTTTTTCTTTTGCAGTACAAATCTCATATTCCTGGAGCTTATCTGATATCCTCTTTTCTTCCAGCTTCACTGAGAATCCTAGTCCCATGCAGACCATTTCTCCAGCCAGTGACCTTATGTGTTGTCTTTTGCATTAGCCTTAGACTACCTTCAATTCCATACATCTTTATGCAAACGCCGTCTTCTTTTCACTATTCACAGACTATAGCACTATACTTTGTCTTTTTTCTGGACATCTTTGGTACTGTTTTACACATATACTTATGGAATTTTAGAAACTATTTATAAAGCAATAAAAATAGCATGAAAGTGTCAACCACTGCTGCTGTCATCCAATTTGTGTTCTACGGATTTCTTAGTTACAGCTTGTGTTGAAATTATCTAAAGATAATTTTTTAAAGACATGTGACAGCAAAAACATCAGTGGTTGCCAAATAGAAAATAAGAGGAGAGAATAGAGTCAAGAGGTGGAGCACCAATGATTTTTAGGTTGGTGAAACTATGTTGTATGATACTATAGTGTGGAATGTAAATTATTTTACATTTCCAAATGTGCAGACTACAAACACAGAGGGAATCCTAATGTAAACTATGGACTTTGGGTGATTACGTTGTGTCAAGGTAGCTTCATCAATTGTATCAAATATACTACTCTGGTGTCAGAGGTTGATAATAGAGAAAAGTATGTATGTGTGTGAGCAGGGGTATTTGGGAAATCTCCAACCAACCTAAATTTTGCTGTCAATCTAAAACTGCTCTTAAAAAAATTGTCTTTAATAATGTTAATTTAAAAAGATGCATTTGGTAGACGCTTATTAAAATCCTCTTTAATATAAACCAGATAAAATTTTCTATCACAAAAGGAAATAATTGTTCAAATTTGAGAAACTTTGAGTATCACATCCAATTTACATAAAATTATGAAAGATTATCTATTACTTTATTATTTTTATTACATCACTCTTCACTGTTTTCTTAATAAAATGGAAAGTAAAATTTTAAAAGCAGAATCTTCTCCCCGTATAGGCTTGTGACTGGCAGACAAAAGGTAAGTTGGTAATGAAAATCAGAAGTAGAAAGTAAACAGAGTGCTTGAGGCAAGATCCAAATACTCCCTGAAGTGAGAGATTTCAGAAAATTTTATTTAATATAGGTAAGCTGGATTCCTCTAGAGGTCTGTATTTATATCAGATCTGAGGTACTTCCCAAAGGAATTCCTGATGAGTTGTAACAATATTTTAAAGCCTAAAGTGGAAGACATTTATCTCAAAACTCCCTAAGTGTGTAGAGGAGAAGGAAACACTCAGGAAGCAATGTCTGCATCGTGGATGTCAACTCATGTTGTCAGATTTTAGAAGGTATTCAATGCAATCTTGCCATGATCATTGTTCTATATATTTTGCTAATTGAATAGCACTAATTTAATATGAAAACATCCCTGTGAAATATCAAAACATGTAGGAAAAGGACAAGAGTTTGGCCGTTAGCCATCTTTAAAACCTGTATTTCTACAGTTTTATCCAAGATTTAATTTAAAAACTAGCACTTGGGACAGTGAAGAATAGGAGAAAGAGGAACACCTGCCAGAAAATCATTTTTCTAACAATACGATATTAAGTTCCATTGAAAAGGAGAATTGGAGTGAAACATTTTTGTTTCTAAGAGTTGCAAACCGAATAAAGTAATGTGAAACTATTAAATGAGGTGACCTGACCTGCTAAAAGCAATTTAAATAGCTAAAGGATACATTCAGCACTTTTCACATGTGGATGGAAAGAGTTGTCTTCCAAAGGGTCATTTATGTCAGAAAGACTAAAACATGGGGGAGAATATCAAAAAATTGCCCTTTGGTTACTTAATGGAGAGCATTATAAATGACCTTGTGCCTAGTGAATGTAGTTTGAAAAGATTTGGTCAGCTTGCACTGGTGAGTATAATACAATTTTGTAACACATTAATACCAAGTTATTTTCAGCCAGGAGGCAATTTTTTTTCCTGGTAGAGCAGGTATTTTGTGGATACGATTTTAATTTGTGATTACAGAATAGATCAGTGTTTTGAATTCCAAAACTGAACAAAACCTGTTGTAAATAAATATATTTATATACTAATCCTGAATATATAATAGTTACTGTAAGAAAAATGTATGCTGAGAAATCATTGTTGGTCTTCATCAAATAATATATTGATAGTCTATATTTCAAATTATCAAGAAAAAGTAGTATTCATTAAAGTTTATTCCCAAAGAAAGGTAAAATAATGAGTTACAGTTGTAAAATACACAATAACGTTAGTTGAGTGTCCCTAATACAAAAATCTGAAATCCAAAAATTATCCAAAATTCAAAACTTTTAGATCATCAAAATGACTTCATAAGTGGGCCTGACATCATGTGATAAGTCATAGTCAAAACCCAGTAAAAATTGTTTTATGTACAACATTATTTGAAATATTATATTAAATTATCTTCAGGCTATGTGTAAAATGTACATATGAAACATAAATTTCATGCTTAGCCTTGGGTTCTGTCCCCAAAATATCTCATTATGTACATGCAAATATTCCAAAATCCAAAAAAATTCTTAAACAGAAACATTTTTGTTCTCAAACACTTCAGATAAGTTATACCCAACCTTTATATCTATTCAGAAAAAGGATCAGAACAAAAAATGAGAGTAATAGAAATGAAAATTGTACCTGACAAACATCTATTTCATAATGCATTTCTGCAAAGATAATTGTGAAGGCTTTTGTCATTTAATACAGAACAGCAAATAGAATATCCTAAATATCAAATATTGGTTTTCTGCATGTTATTACATATGGCAAAAATGTGATTGGAAATGTATTTACCATGGAGAAACATGTCTAATTTGTTAAAATTCAATTGTGCCTTATAGGTTATGATTCTAAAGTTGTTTGCTGTTTAAAACTGATTCAGGTGATCTCTCAGAGCAAATGCAACTTTATTTGGAATACTAAACTGTAAGCTCTGGTAAGATCAGAGATTTCTGTCTATATCCAGGAGATCTGGGACATGGTAGGTACAAAGCAGGTTAACTATGACTACTTGCCCGAGTCCAGTGAGACAGAACACTCACACACACAGCAAGTTACACGAAGTGGGTGTATTACTCACAGATAGGCAATAAAGGACAACAGAAACCTGGGATTCATGACACGTTGGTCCTCCAGGGCTCAGGTAAGCTGCATAGGGAACATGGAATCTCATCTCTGTGTATCCGTCCCTTGCACTGCAGCTGAGGGATTCCCAAAAGCAGCCTGCCCTAGGATTTTATACCCTGAGAATAACAGGGATCATTGGGCTATAGCATTGAATGGTATCCTCTTTCTAGGTGGGACTGGCACAAAGCCCAGGCTGTTTAAGTCAGTCTCTCTTTATCTCAGGAGGTTGCATTCCCACCACATGGCACAATTATTTCTGAGACCTACAAATGAGAATTGGGGAAGAACTGGTTTGGTCCAAGGTCACACAGAGAATAGTCCCACAGTGGACATGCAATTTTTATGGGTTGAGTGCATGAAGTAAATGAATATGGTTTCAAGTATATATAGGTTTCCCTGCAATGTTAATGTTTCTATTTTTTTTTTTTTTTTATTATACTCTAAGTTTTAGGGAACATGTGCACATTGTGCAGGTTAGTTACATATGTATACATGTGCCATGACCGCATATTTTTTTTTACTCTAGAAAGTTCATTTGAAAAGTTCTATCATCATATAATAACGGGAAAATGAAACAGCGTTAGGATGGTTTCACCCTTGATATTTATTAACTGTGTGACATTGAGCAAGTTACCTAGCCATTTTATTCACAGTTTAATTTCTAAAAATCGCTATTTGTTGCACATTATAATTATATATGCCATATAAAATGTATTTTTTTAAAAATTATGTTTACTATCTATATTGCCTCATATATAGTTTTCTTTTTAATAAAAATATGTTGGGGTGGCAATTTTTTGAATGTAAGTCTGAAGTTCAAAAGGTTGTTTTCAAACTAATGAATTTTTGTAGCATTTCCCATATTTCTCATCATCATGGCCCTGATGTCTTTGGTAGCAGTATCTACATTTTGAAGAAATAATGCCATATCAATACTAGTATTATTACTATTTCAATTTGTCATTTAGTGCATTTTATAAAGAACCTGACATTTCAATTCCGGAAAAAAATCTGCTTAACTTTATGTCTGTGTAAGTTTACCTATATAATTTTTTACTTGACTAGATAGAGGCAAGCACTTTTTAACTTGCTTTATAGAGACTTGCCTTTAAGATAATTACAATCACTGTGTTCTTCACATAGTGCTGTGATTTTCTTTTCATGAATGTTTACCTGGTTGATTCTAAAGAGCTGTCACATTTATTTATTTGTTTCACAGTGTAAGCATGGTTTTGTGAGAGTTCAATGGAAGAAAAGATAAATGTCTACATTGTAAAATGAATGTATTGGTATGTCAATGAGGCCATAGACCAATCGGTCTGAACAAACTTATCTTCCTCATCCTCTGTTAAAGATGGAACTCTTGGAGAATTGGAGGGAGTTTCTTTACTGGACACACACACACACACACACACACACACACACACACACATATACACACACATACATACATACACACACACAACTTTTTTTTTTTTTTTACTGTAGAGTTCATTTAAAAAGTTTTATCATCATGAAGTAATGAAAAGAAAAAAGAATTAGAAAGGTTTCACCCTTGATAATTATTAACTGTGTAATATTGGGTAAGTCACATAGCCCTTTTAAGTCTGCATATATGGCTGTTTGCTTATGTATAGGCACAAGGCTAGGTGCCAGGAATAGAGCAATGAATGAAAGAAACCTGATCCCTGACTTTTCACAGGAAACTAGCCAATAGTTTCCTGTGAAAGATAAACATTAAAGAGATAATTATACAATTTATTGTAATTGCAATAAATTCTACAAAGGACAAGTACAAGATACTTGGAAAATATATATCAGGAATATAGGACCTAGTCTTAGTAGAAGAGAAGGCTCCCCCTGAAAAGTGGGTTCTATATTAAAATTTACATTGATTCTTCTTTTTGTGATGCTGCTATCACAGATGTTTATTTTAAGGCAATATGTTATTTCCTTTCTCTGTTTTCACTGGAATTCCATTATCCAAATTGAGTAAAAATAATTCATTTTATAATATTATTCATGTAAATATTTAAAGATAACACCTCACGGAAACATTAAAAGTTTTATTCTCAGGGGAAAGAAAGAAAGAAAAAAAAAAAAGACTTGGTGTTTCACCATAGGAAGGACTTCAGAAATAAATCCCTAGTTGCAAACCTAGACCATTAGTTAATATAATACTTTCGTGATAATAACCAGGAGAAAGACCACATTTACTCAATAATTGACTCATTTATTTAAACATGGGCATTATTAATATTATACTCCATGTTAGATACTATTTTCTTCTTTATTCTTGAAACTCTAACTCTAGTTCTTGAAACTTTTGTATTGAATCTGTTTATGTACTTAGTTTACGAATAGTTACTTGCAAAGAACATTTCCTGCTATTTTCCATAGATCATTTACTTTCACTCTCTTAAGATTTGCTGTTGAATCCTTCATGACATCCTTTAGGACTACATGGGTACTTTAACAACCAAAATCAAAATGCTAGCTCTCCATTTAATTTATCCAATTAATTAGAAATATAGACACTAAGTTATCACATACATTTATTTCAGTCATTAACAATTCAAACTTGTTAAGCATGAATAAAATTGAATTAACATTTGGATAATTTATGAATAAAATTGTTTTCTTTTACATTTTTTAATTTAATAATTTCATTATAGTAACTTAATTTATTTAGCATTATTTTAAAATAATTCAATAAAAATATAAAAAGTATTATTTTATAATTGTGAAAATTTTAATATAATGAATTGCTTTAGCTAATGGACACAAATGACTGAAAATGGTTTATCAGTAAGTACAGTAGTTAGGTGAGAAGACAGGAATACTTTAAAGTACATTTACATCTAGATGGAGAAAAAATTGATTCATGTTCTCAGCACTTGCTCTAATTCCTAGTTTTTCTCCTCACCATATATAAGTGATTAAATTATGTCATTGTGACAAATAGTCTCTTTAAGCAGGGATTTACTTAATGGGATAAAATAACCCTAATATGAGAGATGGGTCATTAGTCATTTTCTCCAAACTCTCATTCTGGTGAGGAACAGGGGCTGTCTCACAAAGGGTCTGAGTACTTGTAAGTCCTTTCGATGGAAAAAAAAAAAACAAAACACGTAGTCTTGGAGAACATCAGTGAACAGCTTCAGGTTCTTCCAAGCCTCTGAGACAGGTAAAATCTCTGATCAGAACACTTCTCATGGTGTGGGTGCTTTGCTTATGTGTTGGCAGTCAAAGCCATCTGCATGGATTTGAGATACAGTTTTCAATAAGGGTAAAAAAAGGAGCAGATTTAGAACTTAATTAGAAACATGCTGAAGATAAGGTGTAAGTTAAAAAATATTCAGAGAACTAGCAAATGTAATGAGGACAGATTCTGAAGTAGACAACAACTCTTGATGACATTACACTCAATAAATTAGAGCCAAGAGATTTTTAACTAAAAACATATGTATTTTCTTTGAGTGTATATTATATACAAGCAATTGTGAGAGGCACACTTCTTTAAAGTAAACTGATACAAAAAGCATGGACATGTATGCAGTTTATGATCTGCTACAGAAAGCCAATTTTTGGAATAGTAATAGCAATTATAACACAGTTCATGCTATAGAGATATATGCAAAGCCATGAACACTGTAATTGAAGAAAGTACATCTGTTTGATTATCAGTGTATCTCCTGGCACATTACTTACACATTGGATATACAGAGATATTTGAGGAGTTAAAATGATGACTTCTGATGTCTTGGCCAACACTGTGAGGCCTCAGTTAGTGTCTGAAGTCAAGGACACGGCTGTATGCACTGATTCTTTTCTTCTTTCCATATGTTGGCATCATTGCAGTAATCTCTGGAGTTACCTGTATCCTGGAACTGATCTTTTTTTGTGTGTAGGATTCAACAGTACCACTACCTTAACATGTTTGGCTACACACTCTTATATATGTAAATTCTAAAAATGATAACTTATATACCTACTCAAAATTTTAAAAGCAGAAAGAGGGAAGGAAGGAAGGAAAGAAGGAAGGAATGAAGGAAGGAAGGGAGGGAGGGAGGGAAGGAGGGAGGAAGGAGGGAAGGAAGGACTAAAGAAAGAAAATATGTAGAGCAATATTAGAAGGCAAAATTAGAATAAAATATGTAAAATATGTGTTCAGTTATAATAAATACCTTTAAATTTAAACATAGTGATTAGAAGGTCATATTTTAAAATTTAAAGCAGTTTTAGACAAAAGAGAAAAGAGAAATGGCGAAGGACTTAAACTATAATTATTGTAACAAAACTTTAAGAACAATATTATCTTTGTTACTTTTTGTTATTCATGTATAGTTGAGTTACGATCAGATTATTCAATTTGACATATGGGAAAGTAGCATTTTAGAAGAGTTTAGGAACTTACTCAGAATAAATATGACTGATACGCAGCCAAACGTGAACTAGAACTCAAGTCAGATGGCTATCATTTCCTTGCTCCTAATACTACAGACTTCATCCAGTTATTATAGTCAGATGTTATTTACTCAAATTTTTGTGTAATTTAATTTGTTTAACTAAATTCAACTTTTCATGATCAACGTTGCATGCAAAGAAAGTCTACATTTTTGGCAGTACCAAAAGAACAGACTGCTCCTTTGATAAAACAGCAAATCAAAAGGAAGAAAAAAACTTGATCAATGTACACTTGGGAGAAGTTCACAGTGCCAAAATGTAACTTTAAACCAGGTATTTCAAACTCGTACAAATGAAACCTCAATAGCATTCATTCCATTGAAGATAAAAATCAATAAAATATGTTTAATCTGGGAGAATGGTGCACTTTGATTGTGTCACTTCAAAAGGTGTTGAAATTATACAGAAGCAACAGTTTCATACATTTTTGAAACTATTTTCAGAAGTATTCGTGCTTTGGGATTATCGGAGTTTCTTCAGATTTTTTTGAATCATTATCCAAAATGCTTAGTCGCCTTCATCTTTCATCTTCATGACATGACACTTTATCACATAGTGCGACACCTGCTGCAGGCATGGCTTTTCTTGTGAGTAAGCTGCCACCTAAGAATCATTTGAAAGGTAACAGGCACTTTTTCATGGGGTTGTTTCATTTTTCTTGTAAATTTGTTTAAGTTCCTTGTAGATTCTGGATATTAAACCTTTGTCAGATGGGTAGATTGCAAAACTTTTCTCCCATTCTGTAGGTTGTCTATTCACTCCAACGATAGTTTCTTTCGCTGTGCACAAGATCTTTAGTTTAATTAGATTCCATTTGTCAATTTTGGCTTTTGTTGCAATTGCTTTTGGCATTTTTGTCATGAAGTCTTTGCTCATGCCTATGTACTGAATGGTATGGCTTAGGTTTTCTTTTACAGTTTTTATGGTTTTGGGTTTTACATTAAGTCTTTAATCCATCTTAAGTTGATTTTTGTGTAAGGTGTAAGGAAGGGGTACAGTTTCAGTTTTCTGCATATGGCTAGCCAGTTTTCCCAGTACCATTTACTAAATAGGAGATCCTTTCCCCATTGCTTGTTTTTGTCAGGATAGTTGAAGATCAGATGGTTGTAGATGTTTTGTGTTATTTCTGAGGTCTCTGCTCTGCTCCATTGGTCTATATGTCTGTTTTGATACCGGTTCCATGCTGTTTTGGTTACTGTAGCCTTGTAGTGTAATTCAAAGTCAGGTAGTGTGATGCCTCCAGCTTTGTTCTTATTGCTTAGGACTGTTTTGGCTATACAGAGTCTTCTTTGATTTCATATGAAATTTAAAATACTTTTTTTTTTATTTCTGTGAAGAATGTCAATGGTAGTTTGATGGGAATAACATTGGATCTATAAATTACTTTGGGCAGTATGGCCATTTTCACAATATTGATTCTTCCTATCCATAAGGATGGAATGTTTTCCATTTGTTTGTGTCCTCTCTTTTTTCCATGAGCAGTGGTTTGTAGTTCTCCTTGAAGAGGTCCTTCACATCCCTTGTTAACTGTATTCCTAGGTATTTTATTCTCTTTGTAGTGATTGTGAATTGGAGTTCATTTATGATTTGGCTCTCTGCTTGCCTATTGTTCATGTAAAGGAATGCTTGTGATTTTTGCACATTGATTTTGTATCCTGAGCCTTTGCTGAAGTTGCTTATCAGTTCAAGAAGTTTTGGGGCTGAGAGGATGGGGTTTTCTAAATCTAAGACCATGTCATCTGCTAACAGAGACAAATTGACTTCCTCTCTTCTCATATCAATACCCTTTATTTTTTTCTCTTGTCTGATTGCCCTGGACAGAACCTCCAATACTATGTTGAGTAGGAGTGGTGAGAACAAAGGATATGGACAGACACTTCTCAAAAAAAGACATTTCTGCAGCCAACAAACATATGAAAAAAGCTCAGTATCACTGATCATCAGAGAAATGCAAATCAAAACCACAATGAGATATCATCTCATGCCAATCAGAATGCTGATTATTAAAAAGTCAGCAAACAATAGATGTTGGTGAGGCTATGGAGAAGTAGGAACGCTTTTACACTGTTGGTGGGACTGTAAATTAGTTCAACCATTGTGGAAGAGAGTATGGCGATTCGTCAAGGATCTAAAACCAGAAATACCCCTTATTATTTTCTCTTGTCTGATTGCCCTGGCCAGAACTTCCAATACTATGTTGAATAGGAGTGGTAAGAACAAAGGACCTGGACAGACATTTCTCAAAAAAAGACATTTCCGCAGCCAGAAATACCATTTGACCCAGCAATCCCATTACTGGGTATATACCTAAAGGAATATAAATTATTCTATGGTAAAGACACATTCACACATATGTTTATTGCAGCACGGTTTACAATAGCAAAGACATGGAATGAACCCAAATGCCAATCAATGATAGACAGGATAAAGAAAATGTGGTATATATACACCATGGAATGCTATGCAGCCATAAAAACGAATGAGATTATATTCTTTACAGGGACATGGAAGAAGCTGGAGGCCATCATTCTCAGCAGACAAACACAGGAACAGAAAACCAAACACCACATGTTCTCACTTATAAGTGGGAGGTGAACATTTAGAACACATGGTCACAGAGAGGGGAACAACACACTCCAGGGCCTGGTAGGGTGTGGGATGAGGGGCGGGAACTTAGAGGACAGGTCAATAGGTGCGGCAAACCACCATGGCACACGTATACCTATGTAACAAACCTGCACGTTTTGCACGTGTATCTCTTTTTTTTTTTTTTTTAGAAGAAATAAATTAAAAAAAAAGAAATGTAACAGGCAGGTCACCTTCATTTAAAAACAAAAGCCTCCCTATTTCTTGCACAGAATGCTTGAATTTAGTCAAATTACATACTGCTAAAAATGAAGACTGATGGGTACATTTGTAATTAATTTATTTACTAGTATGAAAGATGGTACTTTTTTCCTTAAAATGTATCCTTTAAAAGTATTAAAAGGTCTAGTACACATAGAGGATGAAATTGTCAGGTGTGTCTTGAAAGCTGTCATGTATCAGTCACCACCCTAATAATCCACAAGAAATTAATTGCATTCTACATATTGTAGTTAATTTATTATTATTTTATTAAACTTTGTCTAGTTCCTCAAAACTCCCAGAATCCATTTTTAAGAGCAATAAGCAAATGCAAGGGAAATAAGCAGAAAGCAAAAACATATGACAGGCATAGGATGCACTCAGTATGTCTAAAGAAATGTAATTTTATGTAATTTGCCTACCTCATTCATAGACACTCAGTAGTCTAAAGGGGCTCCAGAATTAACAATCTATATTACTTTGTTTTCTTCAGGAGAGTAGAACAACCCACTCATTTTTTCTTTAGAGAAGACTAATGGATTTCTATGCTAAATAGTTATGATGTTTATAGTCCATTGAAACCAATATAAAATATGGACAAAAGTATTGTAAAGGCCAAATTTTAAAGGTATGTAAGACTGACCTACTGCTATAGGCTACGGCAGAAATATCCTACCATATTACTTCATTACATTTCTTCATAGAGATGAGAGAGATATGAAGAATCTATACATCTGAAACAAAAACGAAGGATGATATTCATTTGCACCTTACAATTTGGCAGCCAGAATGATAGTAACTGTCACATATGTTTCATATTTAATTCTAAAAAGGAGTGAGATATTTGTGAGCATAGGCATTTTGAATATCAATAAACTGAGGCTCAAAAATGTGAAGTAATTTGCTCATATTTAATATTTTATCTGTAAAAGCAGCAACAGAAAAATAGAAAAGCTTCAATATCTGAGTTTTTCTCACATCATTTGGATTAAACTTTTAATGATGCCTGCAGAATACATTAAGGTGTGGTGTAGATGTCGGTGCTTAAACATATAGTAAGTATATTTATTTGTTAACTCATGCAATCAATGATACTTGAGCATGTAGTAGAATGTGATAACCACTCAAAATATTAAAGGAAATAATAATATATAAGACTCAATATCCCAAAAGGCCTTCAGAGTAGAGAGTTAAACAGGGGAACAGGCACTTCTATGATTTCCATAAATGTTATGAAAGGTGTATTCACATGGTAGTATCAGAACAATGGGAGAGCACATGCCAACTCTGCCATGAGCCTCTTGGTATATCTGAGCAGAGTCAGCTCTCAGTGTGTGTGTGTGTGTGTGTGTGTGTGTGTGTCTGTGGGGGAAGGGGAGGGGGAATGCTGTATGTGCCCATCTCTGGCACAGCCAAGAGTATTTGAAAAGGGTAAGAGGCAAGAGATCATGTGGTCTAGACAGCAAGAAACGATAGTACTTAAGTACATCTAAAGTATAAATACTATAAATAGGGACATGAGTGTGGACAGGGATGGAGGCTCTAGTATGCTGTGTGAACACTGTTTTATCCCAGCAAATGTAGAATCACAGAAGCGAGTTCCATTATGTTTGTATAATAGCTAGATCACTCTTGTTGTAGAATAGGAAACAGGCTTATGGTTAACAGGAATGTAGGCATAGAGACCAGTTGCAGAAAAATAGAAGAGAGTTGATAATTTGAGCTAAGATAATAGAAGAATTTGAGAAATTGGTGTGTGGATAGATTTTGGGAGGGTAGCATTATCCAGATGCATGAGCCTACCTACATGGCTCTATATATTGTATTTATATTTACTATAACTTCATAATCCATAGTATACTGTGTTCATAGCTTTACTCTGTGGCACTTCTATTGTTCTTGCATTAGCTATTGCTCAACGTTCCTGCTCAGGATCCTATGTGTATAAGCAGTCATGAATTTGTTCAGTTCTGAAAACTTCTCAGCCATTAACTCTCAGAATGCTGTATTCCCTTCATTCTCTCAATCTGAAATTCCTCTTAAATAAATATTCAGAAGTGTTCATTTTGAGGCTTTCTAACCCTGCAGTAGATTTTCATAAATATACTACAATAAGCCCTGATCTTAAAAAAACACAAAAGTATTTTTTGACTCTAGGGAATAGTGGATATTTTCAGAATTGCTCATCCTCCCTTTAGAACACTTTAGGCCCCTTATGCTTTGGAGAGGCTTCTGGAACTGTTGTCTTTCTAACTTTTATTGGATTCAACTGGATTAGAACAATTACTGGGCTGTGTAGTATAGGTACTCTGTCCCTTTACTTTTTTAACTCCAGCAGAAAGGAGAAGTATTTAAAGAACATTAAGCTAATATGCCCCCACTTTCATGCCTACTTGTTTGGGAGAATAATTTAAATATATCAGAGTTGGTTCTGTGGGTATGGTCATCTATTTTATTCTGCTTGGGTCTGGGTTCAGGTCCCAGTTCTGGCCCAGGACTTGTTTCAGTGCCCTTATATCCATATTTTCATATTTCTAATACTCTTTTACACCATTCTATATTTACAAGTATCATGTAATAAGGGCACTTCTCAAGTTCTCTACTTCTCAAAATGTATAATACCAATTTACACACTTACTATAATAGAAGATAGCATAAAGAGGAGCCATAAAATGAGTTTCCAAGTGCAGCTATTTGACCTCTGCTCTCCAGCCGGCATCTGCACCCCTACACACATAGCATTGCCATGCGCTTCACAAAACCATGTGGCCTACAGGATGGAACATTCACCTGACATAAATTTACTCTTATGAGCACCAGACCCCTCCACGTTTTTCTTTTCCCAAGCTTTCCGTGATATTCTGCAACCACAAGAAGCTTGGTTTTATTTTGAGCCTCAATATTTTCACATGTTGTAAAAAATCGACAGTAGATTAATAGTCAGATATACTTTTTGATTCTCTAGATCACCTATAGTTTTCTCAGCTTTCTGTGCCTTGGATTTGGCTAAAAGTCCCTTCCCCTGATCTACCACCAAAAACAAACACATTTTGTATTTTACTTGCAAGTCTGCAGAGCCATGGTCACAGCTACCAATTGCTGTATTAAATCCTCTCTAGTAGTCAGTATTCTTTGGTGATACGTGACAGAAAGTCAATGCAAACTACTTCAAGTTCAAAATGAGATTTATTGGTCCATGTATCCAGGAAGTGCAAGGGTGAAACTAAGGTTGAGTGGAACCAGGAAATTAAATGTCTTCAGGATTCTTTCTATATCAGTCTTTTACAATTTTCTTTCTAGGATAACTTCATTGCATTCCTATGCAGCAGGCATCTCTGCCTGAGAGACATGTTGATGGTAGTTCTGGATTTGACGTGAATACTTTCACGAAGATGACACCTCCACACTAGCTGTAATTAGTAAAATCTTAGAGAATGAATCAGGTGTTCTGGTGTGAGTCATGTTATCTCCTGACGTCGGGAAGTAGATATTTTTAACAAGTTAAGAAATGGAGGCAATGTTAGTCAAACTACGCAGGTGCACACACACACACATACACAAAGTGTGTATGGAAGAAAAAACAATCTCTGGCCTCATATTTGCAGAAACCTCTGCAGAACTGAAGATTCCATATACTTAGCTTATCTTCTTTAGCTTGGCTTCTCTTCTTTCACCTTTTACTTTCTGTAATACAAGTAGTGTAAAGGCTGTCTTTGGTCTGGTAACTGGTGTTTTTAATAAAGTGTGCCTTTTAGGAGTACTGCTCTTAATATTGACTCTTCTTTAAACTACTCTTCTCTTTTATTACATCTTCTGTTACAGGGTCTTACACTTCAATTCTTAAGGGAATTACTTTTCTCCTATACTTTTATTAGTGATCAGGGCGAGCACAAAGATCTATTTTATCCTGACACTCCTACACGAAGAGCTACCACTAAGGGCTGTCAGACTGCACCTGGCACAATTGGAAGAAAGGCAATTCACCTAGACTGTGAGTTCACCAGGTTCCCCGCGTTCAAGTATCCTGAAACATTTGTCCATTGTTACTAAAAACTCATTTGCTTTGAGAATACAGTTTAACTCCAAATGTTGGATATCTAAGCTTTCTCTAGAACATTCTCAGCTTTTGATACTTCATAATAGCCAAACTAGGTTAAAAGAGTTCCTCATTTATTGCCCAATATTGGGTTTCTTAATTGTACATTATGCCCAAGTTTAGGATCCTCACAGCCAATGTCTTTTATCACATCTGTAACAGACATAAACTTTGCAGAAATTAACATTAGAAGTATCAAGGATTAAAAATATCTTCTCAAGCCTTCCTTATATTCTTACGCAATCGAAAAGCAACAAACGCCATCAGGAAGTCCTACTAAGACTATTTTCACATTCTCTATGTCTGAGCATTGAATAAAGCCCAGGGATTTAATCTTACGTCGTGGCCTTAGTTAGTTTGATGTTTGTTTATTTTTATTAGCAGCCTCAGAGCCTTTCATTGGCACTCTCAAAGCAATAAATAACTCAATGAACACATCTGTTCCAGATTACCAGTTCTCTCTGTTACTGTAATTGTTCTACTTAACAGTTTGTCTTCTAGTCACTAGTATGAAGTTGTGCACTATATAATTATTCACAAAGTTTCTAGATTAGGGCTTCAAACATAATCTATGTATATAAAGGCTTATGATCTCAAAATTATATATTTCCTTAATATTTATTTTAAGAAAATAGTCTTTCCAAAAAATATCAACACACTTTTGAGTTTTTCAGTTGTTAATTTGCTGTATAACAAATTACCACCTATGTAGTGGCTTAAAACAACACCCCTCTATTTTCTCACAGTTTTGTGGGTTAGACATCCAGCCACTGGTTTCTCTGCTCAGCAACTCACAAGGCTTAAATCAAGGCGTTGACCTGCCAGGGCTGTATTCTCATCAAGATTAGTTTCTTCTTCGAAGCTCAGATGATTGTGGCAGGATTCACGGTCTATAATTATAGAACTGAGGTCCTCATTTCCTTGCTGGCTACCATCAGGGGCCTCTGTGAGCTCATAGACGCCATCAGCATTTCTTGCCTTCTATCTTTAAGCCAGCAGAAGACAATCTGCTTTGCATCAAATATCATTAAGGCTTTGAAGAATCGTTTTCACCAGGAAGAGGCTTCTCTCTTTTAAGGGCTCACCTGATCCAATCAAGCCCAGTGAGGATAATCTCCCTATCTTAAAATCAAATGATTTGAGGCTTTAGTTATATTTGCAAACTGCCATCACTGCAGCACCCAGATAAACATTTGATGATTAACTGGACAAGATGTGTGATACATTAGATGCTGGGAATCCTGAGAACTATTGTAGAATCCTGCCTACCACAACAGAGTGTAGTTTCATTTATTCTTTCACTAATTTCCTGCAGGAAAAAGTGAGATCATGCTATTGCTCTCAGTGAAATTTACTATTATTTGAAGATAATGAATCTGGAGTAAAAATAAATATGATTTACAGTACACTCACATACACCCACAAATATAAATCAGTAGTCATATGAGTGAATGCTTAAGAAATATCACCATCAAAAATCAAAAGGGAAATGAGGGAAGCAGGGAAGAAGGTGGCAGAAATTAAGCCTACACCCTTCATGCCCCCTAAGGAACAGCAAATTTTAACAACTATCTGCATACAGAAAAGTACTGCCACAAGAACCACAAGACAGGTGAGTAATCACAGTACATGGTTTTAATTTCATATTGCCGAAAGAGGTATTGAGGAGGGCAGGAGAAACAGGCTTGAATCTTTGATGCCACCCCATCCACATCCCCCAGCATCAGCCGGGCAGTACAGAGAGTCTGTGTACTGGGGAATGGAGAATGCAAGGACGGGGGGACTTTACATTAAACTCAGTATAGCTCTGTTGTAGTGGGGAGAAAATCCGTGTTGTGCTCAGCCAGTGCCCACAGACAGGGGGGCCATTTGGACCAGTCCTAGCCAAAGGGGAATTGCTGATCACAGCGGGTAGAACTTGAGTTTCTCAGCAAGACTCGCCACCATGGGCCAAAGTGCTGTGGTGTCCTAGGTAAACTTTCAATGAAGTTTAGAACAGAAGGACTGCAATTCCTAGGCAACTCCTCGTGCTGGGCTAGGCTCAGAGCCAGAGGACCAGAGTAGCATGTGATCTAGGGAAACATCAGCCAGAGTGGCTAAGGGAGTGCTTGTGCTACCCCTCCCCCAACCCTAGGCAGTGCAGTTCACAGCAACAAAAGTGACTGCTTCATTCTGCTTAGTGGGAGGAGAGCAAAGAATAAAGAACACTTTGTCTTATACCTTGGATACCATCTCAGCCACAGTATAATAGGGCACTGAGCAGAGTCATGAGGCCCCCTTATTCCAGGCCCTAGCTCCTGGATAACGTTTTTAGACACACTGTTTGCCAGAAGGGAACCTGCTGCCATGAAGGGGAGAACACAGCCTTGGCAGCATTGATTATCTGCTTACTAAAGAGCCCTTGGGCCATGGATAACCAACTGTGATACCCAGGTCATCAAGGATCTTGGCTGATCCTCTGAGACTTGTTAGCTTCAGGTGAGACTCAGCAGATTACGAGATGTAGTGGTTATGGGGTAAAACTCCTTCTGCTTGAGAAAAGCAGAAGGAAAAGCAAAGGGGACTTTGTTTTGCACTTAAGTACCAGCCTGACCATAGGTGGGCAGAGCACCAAGCCAGGTCTAGGGGGTCCCTGATTCTAGGACTCGATTCTTGGATGGCATTTTTGGACCTGCCCTGGGCCAGAGGGGAGCCTTCTACCCTGAAGGGCGAGTCCCAGGCCAGGGGGCTTTCAGCACAAACTGACTTAAGAGAGCTTGGGCTTTAAGTGGACATCAAAGGTGGCCTGGCAGAAAACCCCTGTGGGCCAATGATGAAGGAGGCCATGAAGAGAGGCTCCTCTGCCTGTGGAATGGGGAGGGAAGAGCAGGAAGGACTTCGTATTGTGGTATGAGTACCAGCTTAGCCTCAATAGAATAGAACATCAGGCAAATTTGTTAGGTTTTTGACTTAAATCCTGGCTCCCAAATAGCATCTCTGGACCCATGAGGGCCTGAAAGGACTTGCTGTTCTGAAAGAAGGGACCTAGATAGATTTACCACCTGCTGATTGCAGAGCCCTAGGACCTTGAGTGAGCATAGGAGGTAGCCAGGTAGTGGTTATAAAAGGCCTTGGGTGAGACACAGTGTTGTGCTGGCTTCAGGTCTGAATCAGCACAGTCCTAGTGGTGATGAACACAAGGGTGCTTGTGTCACCCCAGCCCCAGTTCCAGGTGGCTCAGCACACACACACACACACACACACACACACACAGAGAGAGAGAGAGAGAGAGAGAGAGAGAGAGAGAGAGCAATAGAGAGAGAGAGAGACTCCATTTGTTTGGGAGAAAGTAAGGGAAAAGAACAAGAGTCACTGCCTGGTAATCCAGAGAATTCTTCCAGATCTTATCCATGATCAAGTTGGTACCTCTCCAAGTCTGTAAAAACCACAACATCCCAGCACTTTGGGAGGCTGAGGCAGGCAGATAACGAGGTCAGGAGATCGAGACCATCCTGGCTAACACGGTGAAACCCCGTCTCTACTAAAAATACAAAAAATGAGCTGGGTGTGGTGGCAGGCACCTGTAGTCCCAGTTACTCAGGAGGCTGAGGCAGGAGAATGGTGAGAACCTGGGAGGTGGAGCTTGTAGTGAGCCGAGATCGTGCCACTGCACTCCAGCCTGGGCGACAGAGTGAGACTCCATCTCAAAAACAAACAAACAAATAAACAAAACAATATTGGGCTTGGGACTTATGTTCTTTCAAATACCTGAAAAGTCTTTGCAGGAAGGATGAGCACAAATAAGCCCAGACTGTGAAGGCTACAGTAAATACCTAACTCTTAAATACGCAGATACCAATGAACACCTGCAAACATCAAGATCATCCAGGAAAGCATGACCTCTCCCAAAGAACTGAACAAGGCACTGGGGACCAATTCTCGAGAAGCAGAGATATGCGATCTTTCAGGGAGAGAATTCAAAATAGCTGTTTTGAGGAAATGCAAAGAAATTCAAAATAACACAGAGAAGGGATTCACAATCTATCAGGTAACTTTAACAAATAGATTGAAGTAACTAAAAAGAATTAAGCAGAAATTCTAGAGCTGAAAAATGTGATTGACATACCAAAGAATGCATGAGACTCTCTCAACAGCAGAATTGATCAAGCAGAGAAAAGAATTAGTGAACTCAAAGAGATGCTATTTGAAAACACACAGTCAGAGACGACAAAAAAAAAAAAAATGAAGCGTGCCTACAAAATCTAGAAAATAGCCTCAAAAAGGAATATCTAAGTTATTGGCCTTAAAGTGGAGGTAGAGAAAAAGAGGTAGAACACCCCAAACCTAGATAAAGATATACATTCAAGTATAAGAAGGTTATAGAACACCACGCAGATTTAACCCAAAGAAGACTACCTCAAGGCATCTAATAATAAAATTCTCAAAAGTCAAGGATCCTAAAAGCAACAAGAGAAAACAAACAAATAACACACAGTGGAACTCCAATACATCTGGCGACAAACTTTTCAATGGGAAACTTACAGACCAGGAGAAGTGGCATGACATATTAAAATGCTGAAGAAAAAAAAATCACTCTTGAATAGTATATCTGGCAAAAATATGCTTCAAGAATGAAGGATATTTCATGCTTGAAGGATATTTTCCTTTAGACTTTCACAGACAAACAAAAGCTGAGGGATTTCATCAACACCAGATCTGTCCTATAAGAAATGCTAAAAGGAACTATTCAATCTGAAAAAAAAAAAAAAAAAAAAGGATATCAATGACCAATAAGAAATCATCTGAAGGCACAAAACTTACTGGTAACAGAAAGTACACAGAAAAACATAGAATATTATAAGATAGAATATTATAAGACTGTAATTGTGGTGTGTAAACCACTCTCGTCTGAAGTAGAAAGACTAAATAATGAACCAATAAAAAATATAAGTACAACTTTTTAAGACACAGTACAATAAGACAGGAGAAATAACTAAAAGTCATAAAAACAAGAGGATGAAGTTAAAGTGTATAGTTTTTATTAGTTTTACTTCTGTGTGTTTGTTCATTTGTGTATGCAAGCAGTGTTGTCATTAGTTTAAAATAATGAGCTATAAGATAGTATTTGCAAGCCTTATAGTAATATCACAGAATAGGGTATTCAGCCATATGAAAGAGTGAAATCCTGCCATTTGCAACAACATAATTGGAACTGGAGGGCAATATGTTAAGTGAATAGGTCATTATGTTAAGGTGGTGGAGAGTAGAAATACAGTTACCAGAGGCTGGGGAAGGTAGTTGGGGGGTTGTTGGGGTGGTGGGGATAGTGAATGGGTACAAAAAATAGAAAAAATGAACAATGCTTAGTATTTAATAGCACAACAAGATGACTATAGTGAAAATAATTTAATTGTACATTTTAAAATAACTGAAGGAGTAAAATTGGATTATTTTTTACACAAAGGATAAATGCTTGAGGGGATGGATACCCCATTTTCCGTAATGTGATTATTACGCTTTGCATGTCGGTGTCAAAATATCTCATGTACCAATTAAACATGTACAACTACTTTATATCCACAAAAATTAAAAGTTAAGAAAAATATTAAAAGGTATAAGTTGAAACCTATCAAAAGTTTTATTTTTCTTTCTCAAACATTATAAAAGAAAGCTGTAATTACAGCATGCAGACAACAATTTATTATCTTTTGTTTTTGTTTGAGTTCTATCGCAGTGAATTATCTCAAGAGTTTAAAAAATAAAGTTATTCTCCAAAATTTATTTAAAAAAATAGACAATCTCCCATTTCCCTTTCATTGACATAGTACCTTTATAGCTTTTCGGCTGAATATTTTGGCATTTTCTCAAAATAACAGCTTGCATTGTTACTTTTTTACTTTTTGAATTTTGACATTATATATGCATTGACTTGCTACTTTGGAAGATAATAGATGTCTGTTTTTTGCTGTCCACCAGATACAAAGTTAATTTATCTGTCCTTTTATCCTTCCAATACAGTAATATTATAAATATGATTAGATATTTTGCACTTATTATTATAATTTGGTAAATGTTACATACAGATAAGCATGTAATTACTGTGACTCAATTTTCTACCTTTTAAAAAAGCATTAAATATTGTCATGTTACGTGTGTTTGATTCTCTCTCTTTTTCTCTGTCTCATTTTTTTAACTGTTTTCAATATGTACATTTTACCAATGGAACTCCCAGCAAACTTTCGTTTTCAACTTCTTATTTCCGGGCACTTGAAGCATTTGAGAAATTTCCTGATCTTGGAGGAATGTCCCGTGAAGATTTCTGTCATGCTCCATTCTAGGTAGCTGTCTCCTACACATTCTATTCAGGCCTCACTGTGCAATCTTCCTTTTTCATTGTTACAACTCTCAATCTCTTTCTTTCATGTTTTCCATTTTTCTTTATGTCTCCTTATTTTCCCTTATGCTCCCTTTTCCTGAGGTGCTTCTTCACTTTACTGATGCATAGCTGCCAATAGGTTCCTGAAAAAGAGTACACAATAAGTATGTTTTGAGAGCTTTTATGTGTAAAACATCTTTATTTTACCTTAATATTTAATTGACAATTTGGTTTATAAGAGTAGGTCAGGGAAAGATAAGCACGCCTGGCCAGTGTCTTAGTATCAGGGAGGAGGTTTACTTGTTCCTGTGGTAACAGGAAGTGATTTGGGCCCGAGGGGTTCCGCCATACACAGGCTTAAAGTCCTTGGGGAGCATGTCTAGCACTTCCGGGGTTGGAGTGTTGAAGTACTCTTTGTTGATCTTAACTCGATTGTCATCTCAATCTTTTAGTTCCTGCTTTAAAAAAATTAGAATATTATTATTTGCCTCATATGGTTGTGATTATTATAAAATAAGATTACATGTGGCAAAAACATGGCATGGTTGGAGATTGAAGAGTATGTTGATTGAAAACTGGGGCTGCGGTGTAAGAATTTCTGGGTTTGAATCTTGACTACCTCATTTGTTTTGCTGTATGAAGTTTAGCAAGTTATTTTTGCCTCTCTATACCTCAAATTCACTTGTGAAATGTGGATAATAAAATAATAGTACCTTCTTCATAAAATCATTGCAACGTTTACACATGAAGTAGAATTATATATATTTAACTCGATGGTCACAGAGTAAAAGAACAACAGATATTACATATGATTATTATTTATAAAAGCATTCTAGCCAGAGCTTGGTACACTCAAAAACATACTTTTTTTAAATTCTCAATTGTCACAATTCTATTTGCAAGTATTTTAATAATTCATAACCATAACCTAGCTAGATAATATTCAAGATTTAAAAAATGGAACCTTAATTGAAACACTATTGTGAACAACCTTGTTGGTATTTTATGTGGAATAAAATTAAATAAACAGATTGTTTTTAATGGTTGAAATAAATATGCACAATAAAATGAAAGCTATGTTAGATATATATTTCAAGCAAACTATAGAATTTCATGACTAGCATCACAGAAAATCTATGAAACTGGTTTTTAACTACCATCATTATATAGTTCTTTCTCAAGGAAATTGAAGACTGACAACCGTGTTTCCATCTGGAAACATCTAACATCTGTGATTGTAAACATCAAAACACAGCTGTTGCAGTTCTGAGTAAGCACTCCAATTTATTTATTTTTGACTTAAAAAAAATCTTCAGTTTTCATCAAACATCACAGTTGTTAAGTCATGTTCTTACAGCAGGAGGAAAAACAATTAAGAGAAATCACTATATCAAACATTTAAGAACAATACTCTTTTTGTATTTCATTTAGAGGGAATCAAATCTTACTGTGGTTTAAGAAAAGCATTTTGGAGGGGGTTCCTTTTTTTTAAGAAACCCCAGAATTTAAAGCTACAAGGATTTTAGAGATCATTATGTACATTGATCAGATATTTTTGAAAAACACAACAATGTTCAAAGGGAAAAATTGGGCTACTCAAGTTCACACAGGCAGGTGGTCTCAAGGCAAGGAATAGAATAGTCTTATTCTAGTGTTTGGCATTGGAGCTTCACATTAATTTTAATAAGAAAATGTCTTGCTAAAAAACAAGTGTATCTCGGTGTAATATAAAATTTTAATTATACATGATTCTAAAAATGATTCCATTTAAAGAATATCATATTAAAATTGATTTTAACTATTATACGTACAAGTAGTTCTGTAAATAATGCCAAAAACTTGAATCACTTTACCAATTCTTAATCATAGTTCTAATTCAGTTTCAGATAGACTAGCTCCTTTAACTGTACCCTCCCCTTTTGTAGCCAGGAAGACCTGAAGAAAAAAGTTCTGCAGATTTAGTCCTTAAAGCATGCTCACCAGTTTTTATTCTCTACTGGCCTGCAAACTCCTTGAAGGTGTATGGTTTCAGATCTCTTTTGTATTCTGCATTGAAGCACAGACTCTTTCAACTGATGCATTGTTTGGTTTTTCAGTCTTCTTTCCTTCATCCTAGTAGACAGGGTCATCCTGGGCTCCAGGCTCTGCAGTCTGAAGCCAGGTCCATATCCTAAGGCTCTCCTTCCAGATGCCTGGCTACCACCCATCTGGAAGGTTAAGATGGCAGGGATTCCTTTAATCTGAAGAAAGTGAGATGCTTTGATTGGACCAGTCTTGATGACCTAGCTAAAAGGGCAACACCAATTCAGTAACACCAGGTTCTGATTACCAGTATTACTGATTCTGATTTGCAAGATCTGGGCAGACGTTAGAGGTTGTAGTTTATACTTCAGCGGTAACCTTTGAGAAGCCAAGTTTAAAGCTGGAAAATTCTCTCCTATGGTACACGAGTGCCTCCAAGTGGCAGAAAATTAAGGTGCATGGGTATAACTGAAAGCTAAACACCATACCCAGTTGCACCCAAGCACACTGGCATCTTGGTAGTGGTTGTTTCTGCCAGAGAGAGTCACAGGTAACTTAATTATATATTTTGGATATGGCCAACCTTCGAATTTTAACTGTAAGCTTTCTTTAAAATAGGCAAAGAGGATGATATGATTTACATAACTAGCTTCAATCTTCATCTGTAAGATTTGGAAAATGATTCCTAACTCATAAGAATATTGCAGGAATTAAATGAATTAAAATGCTTATACCAGTGCCTGGCATATGTGATATGATATTGGTAATATGTAGCAACTATTGGTAGTATGATATATGTTGTATATACTAAATAGTATATCTTATGTTGTATATATTCCATGTATGAATATATAATATATAATATTTATAATATAAATATATAACATATTACATACAATGAGTAATATATGCTATGCAATATTCATAATGGGAAATATAATATTGAACATATAATGTATAATATTATTATTATGAGATTCATAATTTTTTTGCAGGGGATTGGGCTACAAAATGATTTGACTTTTTTTTGAGAATTGTACAAGAGAGCTATCCATCAGCAAGGATGGATTCAGTGGCTCAATAAGTTGTGGAGATTTGGGCATTTTAACATGGAAATCAAGTGGAATTATTGCAAATTTTCCATACAATCAAAGGCCCAAAATGGAAGCCCGATATTATAAAATGGCACAAGAAACTGAGTGCTCTTCCCACTCATCAATAGTCTAATAGACTGAAAGAAACTTTCTCAAATCTTTGAGAGACATGTATGCATTCCCTCCTTCCCAACCACGATGGCCAAGAATGAAAAAGAGCATTTGGTGCTAATTGCCTTTATCTATTACCTAGTAACAGCAGCAGAGCAGTTGGCTGCTGGAATGAGCTGTCATGCCATTAGTTGACTCAAAGTTGGCACTAACACATGGATGCCCAGTTTGTGAACGTCCAGCTCACCCTTTCAGGAGATACACTAGTTCTTATATTATAAAGGATTTCAGTTCTCAGGACTAAGAACAGTATCCCTGACATAGTAAAGCTACTATTCTGTGACCTGTCAAAAATTTAATCTTCTGATTTTCAGAAACTAGTCTAATGGGACTCAGTTGACTTAATTGGCCATTCTTTCTGCCCAATCTCAGCTGAAATTTTTTTTATTTTTATAGATTTAGGGGTAACAAGTGTAGTTTTGTTACATGGATATATGTAATGGTGAAATCTGGGCCTTTGGTGCACCCATGATCCAAACAGTGTACACTGTATCCAAAAAGTAATTTTTTTTTTATCAGTTCCTACCCTCCCGGCTTCCCACCATTTGGAGTTTCCAATGTCTATTATTCCCCTCTTATGTCCATTTGTACCCATTGTTTAGCTCCTGCTTATAAGTGAGACCATACGTTATTTGACTTTTGGTTTCTGAGTAATTTCCCTTAGGATAACGGCCTCCAGTTTCCAAGCATGTTGCTGCAAAAGACATGATTTCATTTTTCAAAAAATGGCTGAGTAATATTAAGGGTTACTGAGTAGTAGTAGCAGGGATTTTTTTTTTTTTTTAACTTGTTGAGTTGTTTCATTTTCTTGTAGATTCTGGATATTAGCCCTTTGTTGGATGCATAGTTTATAAATATTTTCTCCCGTTCTGTAGATTGTCTGTTTACTCTGATGATTCTTTCTTTTTCTGTGTAGACTATTTTTACTTAAATCCCTTTTGTCTAATTTTATTTATTGTGTTTGCCTTTGAAGACATAGTCATAAATTATTTGCCTAGGCCAGTGTTCAGAATAAATTTTTCTATATTTTCAGGTCTTATGTTTACGTCATTTATCAAACATAGATAATATGTTTGATAATAATAATATGATAAATATGATATTTATCAAACATAGATATCTTTTGGAGGAGTCTTTACGGTTTTCTAGGTCTAAGATGATACCATCAGTGATTATAGACAATTGACTTCCGCTTTTCCTATTTGGCTGCCTTTTATTTTTTTCTCTTGCCTGATTGCTCTTGTTAGGTCTTTGTATACTATGCTGTATAGAAGTGAGGGTTGGGCATCCTTGTCTTGCTCTAGGTTTAAGGGGAATGCTTTCAAGTTTTCCCTGTTCAGGATAATGTTTGTTGTGGGTTTGTTGTATATGCATTTAATTATTTTGGGTGTGTTTCTTGGATGTCTAGTTTTTTGAAGGTTTTTGTCATGAAGGTATGAGGAATTTTATCAAATACTTTTTCAGTATCTATATATCTATAGAGGTCATCATAGGTTTTTGTTTATAATTCTGTGTGACACTGATGATACATTAAGTTTGTGGGTTCTTTGGAGAAGAGAAACAGATGGGGATATGATTATCTAATTCTCTAGATTTTCCAATATTCTGTAACATCCTAGAACTCATCTTGTGGAGAGCTCCAATTTAACTTTCTCTTCTAAAATCAGAATAGATTAACAATCATTGCATTCTTTTTTTTTTTTTTTTTTTGAGATGGAGTCTTGCTCTGTCGCCCAGGCTAGAGTGCAGTGGCGTGATCTCAGCTCACTGTAACCTCCGCCTCCCGGGTTCAAGCGATTCTCCTGCATCAGCCTCCCATGTAGCTGGGATTACAGGCACCTGCCACCACACTTGGCTGATTTTTGTATTTTTAGTAGAGATGGCATTTCACCATCTTGGCCAGGCTGGTCTCGAACTCCTGACCTCATGATCCACCTGCCTCGGCCTCCCAAAATGCTGGGATTACTGGCGTGAACCACTGCTCCTGGCCACATTATTTTCATTTTTAATTGCTTGATATTAAAATCCATTCAATTAACTTGGCCTATGTAGATAGTTTAATTTTAATACATAACGCTGAGGCTAAAAAGAAGATAAATATTTTTGTCCTGAAGGACATTTCGAGATTACTTCTAAACTGTTTACTTGAAGAGGATGAAACAGTTGTGTAAGAGAATAATACAAAGAAAATTATAAAGCCTAATCTTTGCTTTAGTTGTATATTTTACTCGAAAAAGCATGTTTGCTTTATTGAAAAATAAGTTAGTTTCATTAATTTAATATCAAATATTGAATATTATTGGTCTTTCTAACAAAAATAATTTAATAATTAAAAAATAGAAAATGAAAGAGGAGGTTTCTCTTGTCAAAAAACGTTGTGTGCTTTACAGAAACTTTACTTTGGAAATCACTAGAATAAAGAATCTGGCCTTTAATTTAATCTTCACTGTGGTAGTTTAATAAATATATACTGTGGTCTCCCATTTTATCCACCAAAGATCAGTGATGTGTGAAATTGGAACAGGTGTCAGATATTAAAGAACACTCCGTGATAAAGTTTGTAAAGAAGAGAATTAAATAATACTTATTTCATGGTTATGCTGTACCATAAAAATAACAGTACCTTTAAAGCTCACAACAACCATGTAACAGACATATTATCGTCTCAAATTTTCAATGCGGGAAACAAAACCTCAGTAAATGCTCTTATTTGTTCAAGGTCCTGAAGGAAATTCAGGCTCTATTTTGGACCCCAATCATGTGTCAGTTGCCAAAGTCTATCCACTATATTATTCTACTTCATATTAAGAAGATACCTGCTTTTCTAAGATAGCACCACAAGGGATAATCAGGGGAACAATTTTGTAGAAAATAGTCAGAAATATGTTGGTAGGGGGTGCTTTGGTTGGTGGCATAATGGGAAAAATTTGGTAGTGATAGAGATGTTTTGTTTTCAAATTTCAATATTTATTTTCTTGGATGCCATTTTAATAGAAGTACTAAAGAAATTTGGTCTGACCTTGAAATTAAACTTCTGAATTTATCACTATTCAAATAAATGACTCTTGGCCGGGCGCGGTGGCTCACGCCTGTTATCCCAGCACTTTGGGAGGCGGAGGTGGGCGGATCACGAGGTCAGGAGATTGAGATCATCCTGGCTAACATGGTGAAACCCCGCCTCTAGTGTAAATACAAAAAAAAAAAAAAAAAAAAATCAGCCAGGCGTGGTGGCGGGCGCCTGTAGTCCCAACTACTTGGGAGGCTGAGGCAGGAGAATGGCGTGAACCCGGGAGGCAGAGCTTGCAGTGAGCTGAGATCGTGCCACTGCACTCCAGCCTGGGCGACAGAACAAGACTCCGTCTCAAAAAAAAAACAACAAAAAAAAACCCTCTTAGCTTTATAGCTAAGAATAGATACTTGAGACAGTCTGCCCTGGTTTAAATTCTAGTTCTTCCAGTACTGGCTGCATAACTTCACGCAAGTCACTTTACAATATCTGGTGATTATGAAAGATACTAGCTTTTATTTCTTTTTTTAAATTAAACTTTAAGTTCTAGTGTACATGTGCACAACGTGCAGGTTTCTTACATACGTTTTTATTTCTGAAGAAATTAAAAATCTATGTCTGCTACGTGGTAAAAACTACATGCATCTGGTCTATGTAAGTGCTACACATTTTTATATTTTAATACTGGAAGATAACATCACTTTGGATCTTTGTGGTAGGAGTTTAATATGATCATGGTACTACAAAATAGGGGATTTGTTTTTAGCCTTGGCTTCCAGGAAGAAAAGGCTAACCTGAAAAATATTGACAACAAAAGAGAGAACACAAGAGCATAGATCACATAGTACATCAGAGACCACAGATCTAGAACAAATAATACATACATTATTTGTTCTAGGGAACAACAAATAAATAACTTTTAGAATATATATACCACTATTAAGAGAAATTTACAAAGCATAACCTATTTGGAGAGACGTAGTCTGGTAAGGAATATCTGAAAATAAACTTTTAATCATTTCCTGGTGAGAAGTCAGAGAATTCAGAAATTTCACAGGAAAGCAAAATTCTACACAGATGGATGTGGGAAAATATAAGGAACAAGGAGTAGATGACCGGCAGAATTCGAATAATGAGAAAGCTTGTACCATCTACATGAGGATATTTCTGGGCTTTATTACTGCTAGTGAAATGCTACCTGCAGGCCGGGCGCAGTGGCTCACGCCTGTAATCCCAGCACTTTGGGAGGCCGAAGCGGGTGGATCATGAAGTCAGGAGATCGAGACCATGGTGAAACCCCGTCTCTACTAAAAATAGTAGCTGGGTGCAGTGGCGGGCGCCTGTAGTCCCAGCTGCTCCGGAGGCTGAGGCGGGAGAATGGCGTGAACCCGGGAGGCGGAGCTTGCAGTGAGCCGAGATTGCGCCACTGCACTCCAGCCTGGGCGACAGAGCGAGACTCTGTCTCAAAAAAAAAAAAAAAAAAAAAAAAAAAAAAAAAAAAACACATGCTACCTGTAAAAAATAATTAAAAAGGTGGCTGAAGTTGCAATCAAAACTGTACAATTTAATATAGGTAGATTTATTTTTTATGCTTAAATTAAATTTTGGCCAGGCGTGGTGGCTCAAGCCTGTAATCCCAGCACTTTGAGAGGCTGAGGTGAGTGGATCACCTGAGATCAGGAGTTTCAGACCAGCCTGGCCAACACGACGAAAACCTGTCTCCACTAAAAATACAAAAATTATCCAGTCGTGGTTGCACCCGCCTGTAGTCCCAGCTACTCAGGAGGCTGAGGCAGGAGAATCGCTTGAACCTGGGAGGCGGAGGTTGCAATAAGCCGAGATTCCCCCACTGTGATCCAGCCTGGGTGACTCCATCCCCGCCACCCCCCTCCACCCCCCCAAAAAAATGTACAATGAAGAGTTCAATCACATCAAGAACTGGGGAAGGTCTGAGATTTTCTGTGATTTGCAAGCTGACGTGTGAAACTGACACAATTCCATAGATGCATATAAAACTCTTGGATCAGAGATGAAAGAATGAATAATTTTCAGAAAAAGCAGTAGTCAGAGTATCACCATATATGCAATGGTAGCTCTGCTGTTCAATTCTTTAGGGTGATATGAGGAGCCACAATGAAGGCAGAACACACAATGAGTTGTGGAATACCTAAGGAACACAAAACAAGAGATCAATAGTTTTTTGTTTGTGTTTATTTGTTTTTAGCAAGCCGCAAAGATTTTACCAATTAGCAAATTAGCCAGTCTACTTTCTCTTGGAAAGTGGGAAGCTACGTAGTGATCACACTGCAGTTTTCTTAACCTACCAGTTGCCTATGTGACTAGCCATAGAAAGTGCTCAGTATTAGAAGACAGGTAAGCCTTGCTGTCTGGCACAGTTAGCAAGAAGGTGCAGGAATGCTGAGGACTCACGATGGAACGCTGAGGACTCATGATGGAATGCCTTTCCAAATAAATGGTCTTCCGTAATGGCATTTACAACTTTTTTAAAATAATGAGGTTAAGACCTCGCGAATAACTGCCATAGCTATGCATCAGGCTTGGTACAACCTACCACAGTTACGACTCTTGTTCACAGCAGAGATAAGAGACAGAAACTGCCTCCTCCGAGAATTTGTCTTAACAGAGACTTATTTTTCCTTCAATGAACTACATATTACACAGAGAAAAGTATTGAGCATTAGCACAATTCGATACCCAAATTGATTATGTAAAATCAGTGAGTGACTCATGATATTTTAACAATTTATCTTGTCCTTATTTGACTCCATATGTTCTATGCTTGAGGCATAGGCTGGGTCTGTATTTATTTTCCATGAAGAGAAATTTTCCTCTATTCATTATTTAGGAACTATTAATTTTCAGGAAGAAAAGGAACTTGACCATCTCTCATTGTTTTCTTCCTTTTGATTTTTTTGTGATTTCTTAAAAATGCATATTGCAAACTTTCACTATCCATCCTTATTACATCCCTTATATAATTGAAACTTATACTACTTAATCAAATTTGAAATCACATCTGAGGGTGTAACATGTGGCATCCATCTATGATTCAAATAGCATGAGCATTATTTATGTCAAAACAATATATTCAGTAAGAATCCCTCACCCTGGCATGAAAATATGTTTATTTTGTTTAAAGATTATAAATGCACAGGTTCATACTGCAATTAGTACCTATATTACTATAGAATAATTTTATAGCTAAAAAATCTAATATATAAGTAAAATAAATTTTTATTCCCATGAAGATATAAGTGAGTATTTTGTGAATCATGACTCCAAGGATGTAGGAAATAAAAATTTTGATTAAATTAAGTAAATTCTGCCATGTTGGTTATTATCACTTTCATTGAATAATGCTAAAATAATAAATAATATATTAACTCAAAATGTTTTTACTGTGAGCCCTGGTTAAATTTCTGTTAATGAAAATGTGCAATATTCAGTCAGTAACAACAAGCATTATTGAAGACCTACTATTACTTACACAGGTAGATACATGAGAGATGGAACGAAGCAAAATGCATGTGCTATATTACTATATTCCATTCATAGCATTATTGAACTATTAATAAACATCAATAATTTCTAATAATGACTTTAGAATAATCAAATACTAAATGTTTTATATAATATTAAATTTTAATTTGTTATATCAATAATTATAGCATTTAAAATCTGTGTGTTATATTGCTTTTTTCTTCACTTCTTAGATACCCTACATTCACCCACAAAAAGAGTTCTTGGCTTAGGAATATACTAAGAACAAAAGCTTGTGAAATAGAGGTGTTTTTCAGTTACTGAAGAGGACTATTCAAAAATGAAGACAGAACACAGTCACTGCCCAGAAATCACATTAAAAGTTAAAGAATTTTGCTGGGTGTCTTCACTCTTTCATTTGGTTGACTCACATTCTTAATCTCAGGATAGCAAATTTTTATATCGTATTCAAGAAGCGTTTCTTTACTATACCTATTTGTATTAGTCTGTCCTCAGGGTACTAACAAAGACATGCCCAAGACTGGGTCATGTATAAAGGAAAGAGGTTTAATGGACTCACAGTTCTACATGGCTGAGGAGGCCTCACAATTATGGAGGAAGATGAAGGAAGAGCAAAAGGATGTCTTACATGGCGGCAGGAAAGAGCGTGTGTGCAGGGGAACTCCCACTTATAAATATATGAGATCCATGAGATCTCATGAGATATATTCACTATGAGAACAGTATAGGAGAAACCACTCCCAAGATTCAGTTATCTCCACCTGGCCCTGCCCTTGACACAGGATGGCGGGAATTGTTACAATCAAAGTGAGATTTGGGTGGGGACACCCAAACCATATCACTAATATGAAATAAGTGTTGTTTCACATTATTTTGCCTTATAAACTGATTTATATTAACATAACTGATGTATGTTACTATGAGTTATTTTATGAGCATTAAAGTTTAGTTATGGATTTATCTGAAACTAATATTTATTAATATCTCTATTATTAAATGAAATATTACCTGTTAATATTAATTATTTTATTTTTATTAGTCATATATTTAAAATTATATTACAATAAAATATTAAATTTTAATAGTTCATTATATTAATAAAAAAACTTATTTGAAAGGCCACTAGCCTTGGTTATTTAATGTACCCAACATTTTTGGAGAAAATTACAGTGTTCATATAGTACTTTAAAAAATTTAACATTTTAAGAATAGCACATTGATTAATGTTCTTGGTATATTTAGCAAATTTGAAAATCAGAGAAAAAGTGTAGAGTAGTACATCATGTTTATAAGTGAAGAATTATTATGTATGAGTTTTTATTAGGAGACAAGTATTTCTTTTACTATAAATCTAATAATTTCTAAAGTGATATATTCATTTATTCTTGAAATCAATAAAGTTATTGCTGTGTAAAATGGAAAAAACAATCATAGCTCTTGGGAATTTAAAGACGTTCACATAATGTATTGGGATTATTTATTTTATTTTATGGAAATAAACAGCTAACATTTTCAAAACAAAAGTTACAATATAAAGATTGGAGCACATAACAATGTTAGCTTTAATAAATGTTGTACCAGGACTCTATACATATACTACGACTCTTTGTTGTCGCCTTAATATGCCAATAGATTGCAAATAATACACATCATTACTCTCTCTACTGACAGACAATATAAAGAAAAAATTTAAAAAGATAACTTTGAGAATATAAATGCATACTTTTAGAATGGAATTAAAACGTATATGCTAATAAAACAATGGAAACAGATGTCACTGAGAACATTTGCATTCACTACTTGAAATACAATCACTATTTCTATTTTTGAATTTCATTATTGAATCCACAAATAACATGCCTTTGAAAACATAGTTTTTATTAAATACTTGAATAATTTTATCTCTGCAAAGACATCAAAGAATAGTAGTTTCCCCTTTATATAGTAATGTTTTAGATTTCTCATTATAAGTGTTCCTATTTTTCTCTCATGTGGTAATCAATAAAATTGCACAAAGATAATGTTCTTAAATCTCAGAAAAACAGAAACAAAAAGCACCGTATTTGTTTGCCAGCCTGGGGAATGAAGCCATTTTTGGAACATTCTTGGGTTCTTTCTATTTACCACATGTCTTCCCAATTTTAATGTTAAAAACTATATTAAGTACTAGATATGTTGTATTAGGTTTCTCTAGAGGGACAG
The DNA here is from genome assembly GCF_000001405.40 of Homo sapiens. Lineage (NCBI taxonomy): Eukaryota > Metazoa > Chordata > Mammalia > Primates > Hominidae > Homo > Homo sapiens. The sequence continues at coordinate 89,705,408 of NC_000013.11, forward strand.
AAAAACTAATAGGCTAGATTTATATATGAAGGGGAGTTTATTAATTCACATTATCACAAGGTGAAGTCCCACAATAGGCCGTCTGCAAGCTGAGGAGCAAGTAAGCCAGTCTGAGTCCCAAAACCTCAAACGCAGGGTAACCAACAGTGCGGTCTTCAGTCTTTGGCCAAAGGCCCGAGAACTGCTGGCAAACCACTGGTGTAAATCCAAGAGTCAAAAGCTGAAGGACTTGGAGCCTGACTTTTGAGGGCAGGAAGCATGTAGCATAGGAGAGAGATGAAGGCTAGAAGACTCAGCAAGTCTGCTAATTCCACTTTTCTTCTGCCTGCTGTATTTTAGCTGTGCTGGCAGCTTGATTAGATGGTGCCCACCCAGATTGAGTGTGGTCCCGCCTTTCCCAGTCCATTGACACAAATGTTCATTTCCTTTGACCACACCCTCATAGACACACGCAGTAACAATACTTCGCATCCTTCAATCCAATCAAGGTGACACTTGGTATTAACCATCACATATGTACTGAACAGAATTTTATAATTTTAATGATTTAAAAGGTGTTTATCTCAAAACCATCATTTCAGTATTGACTTCATAATCTGGATGTTACCTGAAGCTCTCGCTCTTTCGGAAATTCTTTGTTCAGGAGCACTTCCCACTGTCACCCAATGAAACAATAACTCCGTGCCAATATATCCTCTCCTGATCTTCATTACAAGACTAGTTCTGCATTTCAAACTACCAAGATTTCTTCCACTTAAAATGTAAGATGCCTAAAATAGCAATTTATCCATTTCTGGCTCTCAATTCCCTGTTTTTCCTTAAATCACATTCACTTTGCATTCACAGCCACGTTTTCTCCTTGTTCTTGACTGAGACACAGAATAAGGGTCCTTTCTATTATTTTTCCCCACATTATTCACTCAAGGTATATGTGTAGCAAGAGATGTACCAAGGAAAGTTTATGTTGTACCAACAAGATACTCTTAAAATATACTAGTTCTGTAGAAAACCCTGATCTTGGAGTCAAGTAGAAACCCTGCAGCTGGGAGTTTGTCTCTGGCTGTATTTTTCCTCAGACTTCATTTATCTTACCATGTTCTATTTCCTTCTCCTTGTCCCTCTGTTTTTTCTACCCCTCCCCTTTCCTAGTTCTTGGTCAGCTCCGTGCTTCCATAAACACATTTTACCTGTTTTTGCATGATTGTGTAGCTAACCTTTATTTCACTCTGTTCTTAAAGGTTTTGTTGCAGTCTCACCGTCCTTAATCGTCAATTAGGAACTCCACAACTGGGAAAAAGTCTTGGGCCATATTTTTCTTCAGGTTCTAGTTCTCTGTCATGCTCTCTGTACCATATCTTTGCATCAGTCTACTAAAATGTGGTTTGACATTGCATATAGTTTTGTATGTAAAACTGTGTGCAAAGTATTTATATATATTATTTCTATGCTTGTGGGAGTGTGTATGTGTGTGTGTGTGTGTATAGATCTGACAGTAGCACGTAAGTGACCAATATATGCAGGAAATAGCTTGAGCAAAATTTATTCCCATTTATATCCATAAAATATAATCCTTATTTTAATTTTTAACTAAATAAAATAATTATAATTACTTTTACAGTGCTATTTTTCCATTTCACATTGGAGAATTATAATTCTATATATTTATGGGGTGCAAAGTGATGCTATTATATATATATGTATATGTATATCTATATATATATATACACACACACACACATACATACACACGCACTCACAAACAAATGTGGGATGATTGAATCAAGCTAATTAACAATTCATCCCCTCAAAAACTTATCCTTTATTCCTCCTGTCTAACTGAAACATTGTATCCTTTGACCAACATCTTCCCCTTCCCGCTACTCCCAGCCTGTGGTAACCACCATCATGCTCTCTGTAAAGCTCTGATTTTGAATCAGAATCTTCTAGTGCCATCACAACTCTTCCAAAAACAGTGATCCATAGTTCTTAACTGGAAGTAAGGAGGAATATGAGTAGACAGTTCAGAGGAGAGCTGGGCAAGAAAATAGGAGAAGCTGCTCAGAATCACTACTCCATAGGCAAATAAAAATGAAGAAAATATACAACATAATTGTATAGTCTTCAGAATGGCAACAATTAGGAAAGATAATAATTTAACTTGATTTTCTGGCAGCTATTGTAAGGAAGAATACATTTCCATACACATTGGTAGAACTTAACAAGCACTAGCCTTTTCAGAAATAAATATGCCAACATGTATTAATAATAATTTAACTTGATTTTCTGGCATCTATTGTAAGGAAGAAGACACTTCCATATACATTGGTAGAACTTAACAAGCTGTAACCTTTTCAGAAAGAAATATGCTAACATGTATTAAATATTTAATAATATTAATTTATTATTGTAATTGTGTTGTATTAATGACCTTATATATTACGTATGTTATATGTGATACATATGCATGTATATTTGTATATAATCTCCTGTGGTCCAAAAATCCCATGTCAGGATCCTACCCAGGAGAGAAAAGAATCCTGATGTGCAGGAATCCATGTAGATGGAGGTTTACTGAAGTACTATTTACAGCATCTAAAAACCGCCGTCTCCCTTTCCCAATATCGAGCATGAGATTCCAGTAATAGAAATTCTCGAGATTATCTTCTCTAACTCTCTTTTTAAAGCTTAAGAAATGAAGTTGAGATGTTGAGATATTAAAGTCACACAGCTGGTAATTTGCTCAGTCATCTGGAATAGAAATCCATTGACGCACAGTTTCATTTTTACTGACAAGGAATTCATGTACTGACATAAAAATTCTCTTTTCAAAATTAATCTCCAAAGGTCGATGAGACATGTACACTAAGGAGTCTTCTCAGCATGATTCCTAAAGGAGAGGGAAAGATACGTAGTGGGGAGTGGTGCTTTCTCGATGTGAGAAAAACTATTTTCCATGTTGCTCTATTAATAAGCACAGAAACCAGCTTTCAGAAGATGACAGGATAAGAACTTTTGACAATAAGCATTATCTTATAAAATAATATGATCTTAATTAGGAACAGGATAGCATAGAAAAACATAAAATGAATACATTTATAAATCATTATAAACCTTATTGACCAGGGATAACTTCAAATAAAATTAGTTTAAAAATACTGTTAATGTATGTGTGTGATTGTTTTATCTATATTTATTTATTTATTTATTTATTTATTATTTATTTATTTATTTTTGAGACAGAGTCTCGCTCTGTCGCCCAGGCTGGAGTGCAGCGGCGCGATCTCAGCTCACTGCAAGCTCCACTTCCTGGGTTTATGCCATTCTCCTGCCTCAGCCTCCCGAGTAGCTGGGACTGCAGGCACCCGCCACCACACCTGGCTAATTTTTTGTATTTTTAGCAGAGACGGGGTTTCACCGTGTTAGCCAGGATGGTCTCGATCTCCTGACCTCATGATCCACCCGCCTCGGCCTCCCAAAGTGCTGGGATGACAGGTGTAAGCCACCGCACCCAGCCGATTGTTTTATTCTTAAAAATGGGCCTATGTGGTCTCCACCATGGTTTTCAGTAAATTGTAAACATTTTTGCATGCCATTAAATGTTTTCAAAACATTTTGTATTAACAGTTACATAGTAGCTATTTAAATAGCTGAAGCTTATTCATTAAATAATTTATCCATATTTGAAATTTAGCTTTCCAATTGAAGCAATTCCAAGGAATACAGGGCCTATATTCAAAATTTCCTCAGTGTATATCAATCAAAATAGACTTTAAGATGAGAAATTTTGTTGCTTGTCTTTGTTCAGATTTTGTTAGTTTAACTTCTGCTTATCAAATTATCTAGGCTTTATGTGTAAATTTATTTTTCCAACAACTTTATAAGTATATGTTTATCTTTCAGATACACAAACCTTGCTTATCCCTGTGTAAAAATGTTCAGCAATTTAATAAACTATGATACATCATTATTTTATTTTTGTATGTGTTGAGTTTGAACATTTTAAAATTGGTTACCTGATTTTTATTTCTTGCAATTTGGATTTTAGTAACTATATAAGCCTTTTACAATATTATTCCCTTCTTATCTTAAAGTCTAGCATTCGTGTTTTCTCTTCTTGACACTGGAAAACATAGTTTCCCTAGTATGTAATTATCAACCTATTGTCTCTATTTTTTAATGAATTACTTCGTTTTTGTAATCTTTTATTTCAATTGCTTACATTCGTTTTATCTTTGATTTTCTATGTTTGACTGGCTTTAGAAGGCTAACTAATGAATATTTACATTGACAATTTTTAGTTAACACCATTTTACCTTGTGGTTTGCTCATGAATTTAGCTTTGGCCACATTCCACAAATTTCTTTATAGATTATGTTTAAAACTTACTTACATGTTAATTTCCTGCTTAAAATAAGTGATAAACAATATAAAGCATTTTCCATAAAATAGTACATGTTATGCTGTATTTTTGTTAAACTTCGCCTGTTATATACATATCCATCCTTTTACACTACATTTATTATTGTTATAATATTTTCTGATTAAGTGACAAGACTGTCAATAGTATCAGGCAGTATTCAGTGCTGGAAAAAGAAACCCTTCTAAAAATTTTAGATGAGAAGGGAATTAGTAGCCATGATTAGGTGCCCACAAAATGACTAGGACCCCTGGATTAGGGAGCCATGCTGATCCCTACGGACTAGGTGAACGCTTTGATCGTGATTATTAATGTATGAATCTGACTCAGAATGCCTCAAATCAAGAAGCCTTAAATCACAATCAAGGATGAGTTATGAATAAATGGACTTCCTAGGATGCTAGAAAACTGAAGTCAGAGTTACTGGTGCAGTGAGATTTGCCTCCTCTTTCTCCCAATATGCTGTGGGGTTGCTGGGGACAGTGGTGTCCATGTTATTACTCAGTTTGTTTTGATGGTAAGAATATTTTGCATTTTTCAAAATGTGTTATATTAAGACTAAGACTGTTTGATTCCTTCCTGAGTATTGATGTGAATCTTAATATATGGTGGGTGTGGCATCTTCTGTATTTATCGATGCACTACCGTGAAGAGAAAGGAACACCAACAGTGGCATGTTTCCCCAATGACCTGTGAGCTGAAGAAAGCTCTGTTTATTTGCTTATATCAGCTCCTACATTCTTTTTTGTCAATCTTGCACCTAACAATTTATGTGTCTTTCTCTAGGCAATTTATTAAGAAATTTTAAAATTGTGTGTGTGTGTGTGTTCTCTTTACACTAACCAAGGAATAGAACCAGTTTTTATTTCCCCTTTAAAATCTTTCCAAGAAATTACAATACTGAATCCAGTAGGATTCATATCCAAAATATCATCTCATTAGTAATTGAGACGTGCAGGAATTTAAAACAAGAAATATAATTATTTATGATATAGATGAGAGAGAGAGATGTGAGCAGGCATGTTAAAGAATGACTAGACTTGTTATCAAACGATAGTGATAATTTTTGAAAAACAATTTGTTGAACAGTTTGAAAATAAAATTCAAGAACATATAAAGGTTAACATATTTTGATCTCTAAACCCTACCTCTGCAGATTCATCATAATTAATGCTTTTACATACTGTATGCAAAAAGGATCATTTAAATGTTCATTCACTATATCACAAAATTATAATATGACAAAATATTTTGAACATAGAATAAGTAATATTCTCAAAATATATATCATGTAGAAGTCCTGCCATCAAAATAGAGTAGCATGTTGAAATTTTAATATTTTAAAATTAAATAAAAATTCAGAATAATTTGTGTACATGATAGCAACAAGAAGAGAAAAAGAGAGAGAGAGAAAACATGAAATAAACGTAAAGTTACAAATGTCTAGAGAGTAAACAAAGTTGTGCCTGAATAGTAGAATTGTGGATTATATTTTTTATGTTTTCAACTTTTTAGAAAGGTTTATAAATTAATAGAACATTCAGGCCGGGCATGATGGCTCATGCCTGTAATCCCAGCACTTTGGGAGGCCAAGGAGGGAGGATCACGAGGTCAGGAGATCGAGACCAGCCTGGCCAACATGGTGAAATCCTGTCTCTACTAAAAATGCAAAAATTAGCCGTGTGTGGTGGTAGGCGCCTGTAATCCCAGCTACTCGGGAGGCTGAGGCAGGAGAATCGCTTGAACCCGGGAGGCGGAGGTTGCAGTGAGCCGAGATCAAGCCACTGCACTCTAGCCTGGCAACAGAGCGAGACTGTCTCAAATAAATAAATAAACATTAAAAAATTCAAGTCAATTTTCCTGTTCACACTAAATACAATATTATAAAATACCGGGAATTAGACATCAAATTTAAAACCAGCTCCGGTACTTCATTAACTCAAGTGAAAGCTTCAAAGTAAGTAAGCTCTGAACAAGAATTTCTAAGGAAGAAAAACCTGAATATTACATTTAAATTAATACTTTTTGGTCAAAGTAGATGGACATTATTCCTACCTCAAATTTCTATCTTGAGTTTTAGTTTAAATTTGTATGATTTCTCTCTCTCTCTCTCTCTCTCTCTCTCACACACACACACACGCACACACATGCACCCCTCTGTTTTTCCCCCATATAATCCCATGAAAACTTTTCACCTCTCTTTTCATTCTGCTTCCCTATTTGGCTCATAATGAGTCTGGGATCTGGCCTTCCTCTTCTGAGATATTTCTAGCTAGTTTGCATATATCAACTTTTATTCTCAAAGTGAACTTCTCTGCAGAACTTATGAGCGCAAGATGCCACAGAATGTTCTTGAGATATAAACCACTAGTATCTGCAGGCACCTGTGCCATTGACTTTTGCCTGGTTTCATAATAATGTGATAAATAATTTTTGAGAAGTGTTGAGTACGTGCACACAACAGAGTGGAAAAATATGGGATCGGTGGACTATGATGGAGACCACTGATGAGGCAGTATTTTGCCTGTCCAAGGTTGGTTTAATAAAAGAAAAATTGCTAGATTATATAATCACACATTTTTGTAAAAGAATAGGAAATAACATGTGGAAAACAAAAAACAGTATTCAAGTTTTGTCATATGTATATTTTTAAAAATGCAATAGGGAAGAGGTAAAATTAGATCGAAATATGACAAACATCTTATTGACATTAATTAAAATATACTAGTAATATGCTCACAAATAATTATTTATGCCTAACATGAATGATTAATGGGTTATAGAATGTCTGAATTTATAATACATAATGAAAATAATGAGCTATAATACAATAAGCTGTTTTTGTATCTACAGTTACATATGGTTAAATTATATTCAGAGAAAATATTATAACAAAAATCAAAAGAATATGGTCATGACAAAAATATATTAAATTATTGTGCTAAAATTCAAGAAAGAATAAGACAAAGATTCTTAATTTAAAGAATTTTCAATCAATGGTATTGGTAGTGTAGAAGGAACAGGAGACAGAGGAATAAAACTAGAATTACCAGGACCAGTAGATTAAAGTGATATAGATATGCTGAAATAATATGGAAAGAGGGATTTAAACCATCTTGTGACTTAAGGAAAACACAGGAATTTTTGTAAACCAAATTTATAGCCTAGCGCCTATAGACACCCACTTTTCCACGAGTTATGGTAATTTGTTTTCATGGAACTGTGCAAGGCAAAGACACAATTCTGATTTGCACCAGTTTCAGTTAATATAATACTATTCAAAGTGAGGACTGCCAGCATTTAATGATAGTTCTATGTTATAATTAAATAAAATTATTTTATACTTAACTTCCCTATGGTTTGTTAGAATATGTGTGTTTATAAGTGTGTGTCTATATGTATATATACATATAAATATATATGTGTGTGTGTATATATATAGTGGATGCATGTGTTTACTTTTATGAACTCAAAGACTACATTGCCCAGAAATAACTCTCTGGAAATTACTTTCTTAAGGAAATTATCATTGTGCTCTATAGCTTGCTATTATTCTGAAGAGCAATATTAAGCAGAAAATTGTCCTAACCATTTCATGGATATTATGAATAATTGGAATCTAACCAACAATAATAGCAATTTTCATAGAAATTTTGTGTAATAGACTGGTAAGAACCAAGTTGACCCACTTTCAGTTAATGTCATGTGTGGCAATGCCTTCCAGTGTTCTGTATCAGCGAATTTTAATAAGGCTAAATGTGATGATGCACCACAATATTCAACTAACTGATAGGGCGTTTTCAACACAGCCTAGCTTAATATCATTTAGCCCAGAAGCCCATAATCCACAAGAGCTGTGTCAGAGAAGTTTCTAGTCCAGCATGTTCCCAGCAGATGGTATTCATCTGCCATATGCTGCAATGCCTAGATAGGCACAATGATACAATGCCTGCTATTTCATTCAATAGTGAATTTGACTACGTGAATTAATACATACCAGGGGTAAATGACAGAAGTCAAGGGAGGTAATGGATATGGGAAATATTTAATATAAGCAATTGACAGATAATTCTGTTAGTATTTTTTTATATTCTGTTTGGCTCTATTTAGGACAAACAAAGTTTAAAATACAAATGGAGGCTAGTGTATAATACTTTGTAATCTGTTAAAGTCTACATTACATAAGTCTTTTAAATACAGTACAACTCAAATTCTCAATGCATAAAGACATTATAGATTACAGATATCCTAAAAATTATATAATACTTTCAACCCTACAAAATTCCCAAAATTTCTTGCCCAAAGCCTGCCAATCTCTAGGATGGCCACTTTTTCCCCTAAAGAAATTAACACTGTGTTTTCACTATTTTTTTCTAATGTAAGTGCAACTAGTGTAGTGTGTATTTTTTCTATCATAATATACTGGCTATTGCAAGGAAGTGATAATTTTCCAGTGGGGGACAATCAATCATACAATCAAATTTCTATAATATAATAAAATAATTTCATTATAAAATATTTTATTATGCAAAACAGTGAATTAGTAAAACACATACCTGGTTTTATGTCTCACAATCTCATACATGCCTGGTGTAATTCTGTTGTTATTTAGTCTCAAAAAAGAGACTATTCATACCAAATAATAAAATGTATTCTCTATTGAGATGATGGGTTTGTATCCTTCAAGCAACACTCTTTCAAAAGTCCCCTTTTTAGCCATTGATATGTCTTTGCATGTAAGCTAATCTTAGGCAATAAATATTCTCACGGGCCAATTATTAAGGAAAGATGTATCCAATTATGATCAATTGCCATTATAATGTACTTTACCAATACAGGACTTATGAGATATTGATACTACTTCGTAATAAGGAAGTATGCTCTTTCATATAGGTGGATAACTATGTTGGTCATTTTATCATTTTGTGAAACCATATTTTCAGCAACCTTCAGCTCATAGCTCATGCTTTCATTTTTTTAATTCATCTTTTGTTAAAGAAATACAAATACATGACTCACATGTAAATTAGAAACAAAATCAGTACACAGCTTATATACATTTTTTATCATAAAATGTTTTTCAGCAATAGAAAGTTTCTCAAAGTGAACATGATACTCTTGCAACAATGATAGCTAATTATAAGCAGTGAAACAGTAATATCAAATATTCAAGGGAGAATTCTCGCAGCTGCCAAGTTAATCTCCTCTAACCCAAAGTTCTGTTCATGTTCTTACTCAATAACCATCATTTGTTTCCCTGTAGCTTACCAAATTAATTAAAATTGATGCACTTTAGTATTCAAGGCAGGATACAATATGTCCTCAATCTGGCATTACGTGTTCTCTATCATAGTTCCTTAATTGTAACATACATTTCAGGTAAAGTGGGACATTATCAATTATAGTCCATAACCATTCTGGACTTCCCTAAGTGGGGTGGTATCAACTATAGTCCATAAACATTCTGGACTTCCCTCAATTTGAGTCTATATTTATGTTTATGCTGCTCTCTCTTTCAATTGAAACTATCTCTTGCCTTCAATTACTACTAACAGAAATCCTTCTAAGAATATCCAAAATGCTCCCACCTTCAGAATGTTTTTGGATTATCCTAACCCTGCAGTGTCACTTCCTCTCAAGAAAATATTTGGTTGTCTCTATCCTGTGACATGTAAAGGCTTTAATTTTAAATATATTTACTTGTATAATTTTGTTCTCAGATAATATTCTAAGATCTGTTGCCTAGTTCACTTACACTTTAGAAATCTATTAGAATTTTTAAGTACAGCTTTCTGATCTTTCTTGTCTCTGTGTGGTCAATCTACTTGACTCTACTTGACTAGCTTTTTATACGTATTAATGGGATTAATCTCTCTCAGGATTGAAGATATACATTGAAGTCTGCTTTTATCAGCTGGAAATATTCCTCCTTTTCTTAGGTTTTACATTTAATGTCTCCCATGTAGATCTCCTATGTAGTCATGTATTTTTTTCCTTGATTTACAACTCAAATGATACTGATGTATCATCGTTTAATAGTTCAATGGCTTGATTCAGTCACAAGAATCACACTCATTAGGTGTATATATCAACCTGGAGTAGATGAATGCTTTATTATCCTTTGGTGGATGTGTTAATTTTAACTGCTGAACATTTTCTTCAAAGAACTTATCCTTTCTTGCTGGTCAATTTTCCCATTCTCTATCCTTTAGGACTTTACTTCCTTCTGTACAACTAATAGATCTCAGTATCTATAGTACCTGGGGCTTCACCAAACATGACAACAGATTTCAATTGTGAGGGGTCATTTATTTATCAGCTGCTTCAGTGGGAACATCTACTTAAAAGAGGTATAACTTCAGAAGGTGGTGCAAGCTTATATTTAGCTGGCGTTCTATAGGAATTGTTCGTGTTCTATTTTGTCTTAGAATCTGTGTCACTGTAGAGCAACTCCAGCTTTTTCTTATTTTTGTGAGTGAAAAAATTGAATGATGTCACAAAGTTCCATGCAGGAATTACTATAACCTTTCTGCAACTGCAACTGAAATGATTTTCACTAGCCTGTTTCCCTGCCCCACTTAGGTGGCTTTTCATTGATATTTGGGATTTGCTAATGATCACCTACCCTGAGATAATCTTGTCTGATGATGTCATCTAGAGAACTAGCTCATACATTTTTTTTTTACAAATCATGGTAATATGTATCACTTTATTCATAGGAATTATCACATACTGAAATTAGTTTATTCATGTATTTATTCATATGTAGATATCAAAAGATTATAATTTGAATAAATGAAAAACCTCTCTATCATGCTATCATTGTACATGGTATTTTATAAGGAGTTATTGATTCTCTCTAGACAGAAGAAATGTTGTGTAAATCTTCAGAGAGATGGTAGATTTTGAAATTGGTCACAAAATACATTTGGTCATTTTCATGTAGAAAACAATTAAATATTTCAGATATTATTTGCCTCAGAAGAGGTTTTATATGTAAAGAGTGTGATACAAAGTTGTTTCAATGATTCATACGTGTGTGTGGACAACTTCTCAAGAAAATTTGCAAAAATTAAATCAATTGTTGGTTCCTCAGTTCTACAGTAATATAATGGCTCAATATCACGAACAATTTTTTTAAATGTCAACTCTGTCTAGTTATTTTTGCAAATTTTGTTTCATGTGTCATTTAATTTATATAATATATCATATTAAGACAATAGAGAAGATAGAGATTTTCAATTAAAAACTAAATTTCCAAACTCATTGTTCTTATATTAAGAAGCAATAACTTTCACATCATTTTATGTCTATGCCTGTTCTTGTTAGTTTGGCTCTTTATCTCAATCTTTGTCAGCCACTAGAAGTCTATGCCACATTTTTTTTCCCCCACATTTGAGATTACTTCAGGCAAATAGCTGCTCTAAATAAATAATCTGTTGCTTTCTTTCTCTCCTTTTCCATTTTTCCAACCTCAGTGCAGTTTCTTTCAGGTCTAAGATGACAGGTCAATATCATTTCTAAATCTAAGGTCGTTCATTCTCTTCCACACAGAGGGCCTCTCTTATTTTGTCTGTAGCCACTACATTTCTCAATATTAAGTTGAACAAACAGGGAGATAATGCTCATGCCTGTATTACCTTTATTCTGAACTCTTCCCTTAGTTACTTGTGGAGTCATATCACAGTCTTTGACTTATTGTCAATGATTTCCCCCACAGTGGTCAAATTTTTAAAAATTATTTTGCTCAGTATCAATCTTGGAAAATATATTTTAAATTGAAGTGTTTTTTAAGGTAACATATGGTACTGCATGTGTTGAATTATAGTTATTTTCTGCAAGACACACGCGCATGAGCACACGCGCATGCACACACACACACACACGCACATACTGATTTTAGTTTTGTTAATCTATATTCCATGAATAGAAGCAAATGGGAATGCAAGAAATTAGAGCACCAGAGAACATAAATTTTATTCCTCCAAAAGTATCATATTTAATACTCGAATTTTTGTTTCATAACCTTATATTTTAAATGTAAGAACTTTTTAAAGAGCAAAAAACTTGAGGAGAGAAGGAAAATAGGAAATGCAACAGGAAAAAAAAATAGCTGATCTCATGTGGTATTCAACTTATGTTGAGTTCAACCTGAAAATGGTTTAGATATTAGACAAACTATTATTTTGTTTATTAATGGCTCTGGTCATTCTTGTTATCCTTTCCAATGGTTTCTCTTCAACTATTTTTAAAACCATTTTTATCCCTAATTTTTCAGTTCTCTCTTATAGTTAAATATAGTTTGGAACTCATTTTTAAAACTAGTAATAGCCAGTAGAAAGGTATAGAGTTTGAGAGAAATTGTGAAATAATGAAATTATACTTTTTCAATTTATGTTGAATTTAAAAGTATAAGTAAACAAATCAGCAACTTTTTGCTCCGCACAATCCTATATTTGTCATTAAAATAATATATGGGCCCAGTAAACATCAGTAACATTTCAGAGCACATAAACTCACATAACTGTGAGTGAGAACATGCGGTGTTAGTGCTTCCTTCAGGAGTTCTTGTAAGGCAGGCCTAGTCGTGACAAAACCTTGCAGCATTTGCTACTCTGTAAAGGATTTTATTTTTCCTTTGCTTATGAAGCTTAGTTTGGCTGGATATGAAATTCTGGGTTGAGGCTGGGCACTGTGGCTCACGCCTGTAATCCCAGCACTTTGGGAGGCCGAGACGGGCGGGTCACGAGGTCAGGAGATTGAGACCATCCTGGCTAACACGGTGAAACCCCATCTCTACTAAAAATAAAAAAAAAAATTAGCCGGGCGTGGTGGTGGGTGCCTGTAGTCCCAGCTGTTCGGGAGGCTGAGGCAGGAGAATGGCATGAACCCGGGAGGCGGAGCTTGCAGTGAGCCGAGATCCTGCCACTGCACTCCAGCCTGGGTGACAGAGCGAGACTCCATCTCAAATAAAATAAAATAAAATAAAATAAAATAAAATAAAATAAAATAAAATAAAATAAAATAAAATAAATAAAATAAAATAGAAATTCTGGGTTGAAAATTCTGTTTTTTAAGAATGTTAAATATTGGCCCCCACTCTCTTCTGGCTTGCAGGGTTTCTGCCAAGAGATCCACTGTTAGTCTGATGGGCTTCCCTTTGTTGGTAACCCAACCTTTCTTTCTGGCTGTCCTTAATATTTTTTTCTTCATTTCAACCTTGGTGAATCTGACGATTATGTGTCTTGGAGTTGCTCTGCTCAAAGAGTATCTTTGTGGTGTTCTCTGTATTTCCTGAATTTGAATGTTGGCCTGTCTTGCTAGGTTGGGGAAGTTCTCCTAGATAATATCCTTCAGTGTTTTCTAACTTGGTTCCATTCTCCCTTCACTTTCAGTTACACCAATCAAACGTAGGTTTGGTCTTTTCACATAGTCCCATATTTCTTGGAGGATTTGTTTATTCGTTTTCATTCTTTTTTTCTAATCTTGTATTCATGTTTTATTTCATTCAATTCATCCTTAATCTCTGATTTCCTGTCTTCTGCTTGATTAGTTCGGCTATTGATACTTGTGTAAGTTTCACGAAGTTCTCGTGCTGTGTTTTTCAGCTACATCAGGTCATTTATGTTCTTCTCTACACTGGTTATTCTAGTTAGCAATTCCTCTAACCTTTTTTTCAAGGTTCTTAACTTCCTTGCATTGGATTAGAACATGCTCCTTTAGCTCAGAGGAGTTTGTTATTACCCACCTTCTGAAGCCTACTTCTGTCAGTTTGTCAAACTCTTTCGCCATCCAGTTTTGTTCCCTTGCTGGTGAGGAGTTGTGATCCTTTGGAGAAGAGGCATTCTGTTTTTTGGAATTTTCAGCCATTTTGTTCTGTTTTTTCCTTATCTTCGTGGTTATCTACCTTTGGTCTATGATGTTGGTGACCTGCAGGTGAGGTTTTTGTGTGGAAGTCCTTTGTGTATGTAAATAAATATACACATATGTATTCTTTTTTTTTTTTTTTTTTTTTTTTTTTGAGAGGGAGTCTCGCTCTGTCTTCCAGGTTGGAGTGCAGTGGCACAATCTTGGGTCACTGCAACCTCTGCCTCCCGGGTTCAAGTGATTCTCCTGCCTCAGCCTCCCAAGTAGCTGGGACTATACATGTGTGCTACCACAGCCGGCTAATTTTTTTGTATTTTTAGTAGAGACAGGGTTTTACTGTGTTAGGCAGGATGGTCTCGATCTCCTGACCTCATGATCCACCAACCTCGGCCTCCCAAAGTGCTGGGATTATAGGCATGAGCCACTGCGCCCGGCCACACATATATATTCTTAATATAGTGTATGAATATACTACATATAGTATATTCTCATATTTGTATATATTTCTATAGTATATTTCTTTTAAATCAATTTTTAGTATTGATTTATTTTTTAACTCATATTGTGCATTAAATACATATTTTAAGCATTAATATAAGAATACAATATTTTCTTGCAGTTATTTTTCATTTTCTGTGTTTTTAAATTAAAATTCCATTTTAATTTAATTCTATTCTTTAAATTCCTATTTCCTGCCTGTCTATGAATGACTTTCTGAATTGCCTTTCCTACAAGTATCAACTACTCACCCTTCATTGTCAATAAAGTACTAATCTTATTCCCCTTATTGTTTGCTTTATTAAACTCTCTGTCACCCACAATATGCAAAGATATTTGAAACAGACTGTATGCTATTTTGTTGTGTTTTCAACAGATGTCTACTTAATTGGAACTTCTCCTAACCAGGCCAACTATGTTAGTTTCCTAGAAACATAGAAAGATTACAACCATACATTTTCTCTGTTTGAAGTCATAGCTTCAAAATATCTATATAAACTGTCTGCCAATTACATTGCATATTGCATGCATTTACACACACACACACACACACACACACACACACACATATGTAATCTCTTTTAATAAAAGCAAAACTCTTTATTGCTTTGTTGGTGGGTCCTCCTCACATTCATATAAGGGAAAAATGGTGCAGCTTTGGAGGAGAATCATGAAAATGCCAAAAGTGGAAAAAACAGGAAATACTCAAATTACTATATGATAATATAGGAACAAGAGATCAAGATTAATATATATGATTTTTCTAACATGCATGACTTTGGGAGTTTAAAAAAGTAAATAAAGGAGCTCATATTTTTCATGCCATAACTTGGGAGTAGATTCATGATCATCAAAATTTTAAACAATGTTTTCTCACATATTTGTACAGAAACATAATTTCTTGGGTTTTGATAATGTGTTATAGTAGAAATATGATTTAATAAAATTTAATAAATTTATATATATACAAATGAAAAAATGAAGTTTGTGATTTTAGCATCTATGTTTATATTCCCAGCCCAGACTTCTCCATGGAATTCGTGATTTGTGTTTTCAGTTGCCCCCTTGTTATCACTGCATGGATATCATTCTTCTGCTCGAAGCCCTCTAATGGCTTTCCAGTTCACTCTGGTATGGACTGAATGTTTGTGTCCTTTACTCCAATTCATATGTTGAAACCTTACTCCTCAATGTGATGTTGTTAGAGGGTGAGGTAATTAGGATTAGATGATGTCATGAAAGCAGAGCCCTCAAGAATGGCATTAGTGTCTTCCTAAGAGTCCCAAGAAAGCTTGCTTATCTCTCTGCTCCATCATGTGAGGGTATAACTAAACGTTAGCAGTCTTCAACCCATAAGAAGGTCGTCATCAAAACTTGTCCATGAACTTATCATCTCCAGAGCTGTGAGAAATAAATTTTTGGTGTTTGTAAACCACCGAGTCTATAGTATTTTATTGTAGCAGTCCAACTGAGGAACCAAGACATATTGTAAGTGAAAGCATGAAGTGTTACCAAAACCACATTGTGTGTGGGTTCTGTATTCAAAAGTAATCAACCCTGTATATCTGTGCTTTGCAATGTGACTTTTCAGTTTCTCTCTTTAAGGCAGAACTCATTTCTTAACCTCTTGCATCTAGATTGGTCTTGTGATCTCTTTTAGCCTAATGGAATATATCTGAAGTAATGGTGTAATGCTGTTTAGCCTACAACTCAAGATGCCTTTCTCACCACTATTATCTTTCTTGGGCACCTGCCTTCTCCATGAGAAGAAACTGACTTGGCCTTATGGAAAATAAGAGATCATTTGGAGTTGAACCCATTAACCCCAGCCAAGGACATACTAGACTAGCCTACACCCAGGGAAACCCAAAATCTGTGAAAAATATATAAAAACAAATTTAATAAAGTTGCTTGCCTGATTTACAGCCAAATGCAGACACGAGTGAGTCTAGACAAAATCTAAGTATATACAGAAGACCCGGAGACACATGAACTATATACATGTTTTTTGTTTCATATAAAGCTCACAACTGGGTTTTGTTTTGTTTTGCTTTTTGTTCACTGCTGTTTTCGAGATCAATTGCACAACAAAATGACTACAGTTAATACGAATATATTATCTATTTCAAACTTGATGAGAGTTAATTTCAAATGTCTCACTACAAAAAAAAAATGATTGGTGAAGTGATGGATATGTTAATTAGCTTAATTTAATCAGTCCACATTGTATACATACATCACAACACCAAACAGTAACCCACAAATATATACAATTGTTATTTGTCAATTAAAGTAATATTTCTAAAAAGGAAGATGTCTGACATGTAAATACTCAAAATAATTAAATGGAATAGTTTTTAAATTCTAATTGCTATATTTTTTCAATAGAATATGTGGCTTTCAATTTGTTACTATTAGTTTTTATAATGAATTCTTTTTCTGAACATAGTTTGAATACTCATTTTACTCATTTTCAGGAAAAAAAACAGGTGCTGAGTATAAATTGTAGAACCATTAATGCACATCAGAATGGCAAAATGTTAAAAATTGTTAATATAATTTTTATGAGAAAATAAGATTCAGAATTTTCATTGGTTGCTGGAATGTGTATGTTCTGATGAATACATTCTGGAGATCAGAATGGTAGTGATAAGTTAAATTAAATATATTTGTTTTACATCCCAGCAATCTTCTCCTAGGTAAATATCCCAGATGAATTCTTAAAGTGTCTAAAGAAACATTTACTAAAATGTTAACCATAGCTTTATTTGTTAAATGTGTGATTGCAGAGGCAATGAAGTAATTCACCAAAAGTAGAATGAAAAAATAGCATTTAGTAGATGTACACTCCTGAATATTATGGGAATCTGCAGCATCATTGCAGATGTACCATTGAATGACAGGAGAAAATCTTAAAATCATGCTTCGAAAAATAGAATACAATCTATATCACGTCGCCATTTTATTTCATAAATTAAAATATATAACCATAGAATTTACACTTTTTTTACAATAATGCACACAAGTAAAAAGATTTCCATCAAATATGTTAAGATAATTTCTTAGGGTGCAATAGAAAAATGGAAGCAGTGAACAGGAATAAAGTAGAGTAAATGTGGATAAATGAAATGTTAGGAGTTTGTGCAGACCAGTGTTAACATGCCGTATACTGCCTATGATTGAGTGTCTGAATCTGAGGTCTAAAACTGTGTAAAAAATAATAAAAGATAACAAGGTGGATGGGAAGTTAAACAATGTCAGTTCTGCGAATTACAGGATTTTTTTGTAGGAGAAATAACACAAAAAAATTGCTATATGATTTTTACAATATGTCTTGAGATTTGAGGTAGAAGAAGGCTGACTTGTTCCTGTTTTACAAGAGGAATTTATTGTGTTCATTTGTCATTGTAAATTTACATAGTCATACATTATTCATATTAGCAATTTATCTTTTAAGTATGTAGGTGAATCTGGGAAAACTGATTGAATATTTGTGGGGAAATCTTTAGAACTACTTGAGAAAAGCATAGGACTCAAAAACCCTCAAATATTTCAGAAGTTTTTATTTGATTATCTATGGTTGGTATTAAATTTCAAGGATTGCTCTCTGTCTAATTTAACATAGAATGGATGTTCCTGGGCTGATTTGTGTTCCATGATTACACTTATTATAGTTAATCTGATGATATTTTCTATTGAAAAATTATATAGTTGGCTCTCTGTAACCTCAGGTTTTGCATATGCGAATTCAGCCAACCATAGATGAAAAGTATTTGAAAAAAATTTAAAAATACAAATAAAAAAGTACTGTATAACAAATATTTATGTAGGATTTACATTGTATTAAATATTATAAGTATTCTAAAGATGATTTAAAGTACATGAGAGGATGCACATAAGCTAGATGCAAATACCACAGCAATTTCTGTAAAGAACTTGAGTATCCATAGTTCTTGGTAGAAAGGTGCCCTGAAACTAATCCCCACCCCCACCCCCGCAAATATTAAGATATGACTGTGATTTAAGATGTTTAATTTATTCCATATATACTTCCAGTTTTCACCATGCTATTGACTTTTTTCTTTCCATGCTCATCACCAATAACCATTTTGTCAATATCCAAGAGATTTTCTCTGATTGTCTTGTTGATCTACCTGGTTGCTTTCCACATAGTTGATTCTCTATTCTTTTTGGAAACAGTTCCTGATTTTACTTTTCAGTTGTTAGATGATCCTTCTAATTTTGTTTTTGTGCTCTCTTTTCTAATGGATCTCCCCATATTCCTAGTGTTGGAGTGTTCAGAATTTAGTTGTGGGCGTTCTCCCAGTATATTATTGATATTGACATCTCCATTTAGCTTTTGCTTAAAAATTTCGAAGTTCAAATAAAACATTTGATTGCTATCTCTACCACTCATATCTGTTACTAGTCTTCTCCATCCTAGTTAAAGTTTTTAGCATTGGCCAGGTGTCACAGTCCAGTAATACTGTTTAATTTTTCATGTCCTGTAGCTTGCATGTCAACAAATATTGATATTAGTGGTCCCAAATCATATCTCAAATGCATTCATTTATCTTCATTTTTTCTGTTACCATATTCTACATCATTATTATCTCTAGTCTGAACTATTATGGTCTCCTAAGTTGTCTCACAGCCTCCTCTTTCTCCTCTCCTCCAATTCATCCACTTAATGTGGATTACTTCTATCTTAACACAGTTAGCGACTTTCCCATTGCTCTTCACTGCCACCAGTAAGCTGTGCCTACTCTGGGCCCTTGGCTCTATTTCAACCCATTCTATCTCATTTTGTTATTCCCCAGTTACACTGGCTTCGTTCTTCTCAAATGTGTTTTCTTGTCCTAAAGATTTTATAGTCTGCATAGATGGGTTTGCTCTGACTTCCCATATGAATGGCTTCTTTTCTTCCTTTTAATCTCAAGTCATATATGATGGATTCATGAGATAGCTATAGATCTATTTTTATCATTCTTTTTTTTTTTTAAGGAGTCTCACTCTGTTGCCCAGGCTGGAGTGCAGTGGCCAGATGTCGGCTCACTAAAACCTCTACCTCCTGGGCTCAAGTGATTCTCGTGCCTCAGTCTCCCAAGTAGCTGGGACTATAGGTGTGCATCACCATGCCTGGGTAATTTTTTTATATTTTTAGTAGATATGGGGTTTCACCATGTTGGCCAGGATGGTCTCAGACTCCAAATTTTCGCTCTTTAATGTAGCTCCTGCGTTCACTCTCGGTTCTCTTTAAACATCCCTTTCCGAAGTTGTATTAGTGCATTTATGTACTTGTGTATTGTTTATTTTCACTCCCATAATAACAGGGCTGCTGTCATTTCTATTCATTGCTCTTATATGTAGTGTCTAAAAATGAGAATGACACATAGCAGACTTTTAATTCACACTAACAAAATGAATGATAAGTGTTTTTTTCTCTGTAAATAGTACAAACTATTGAACTTCTTCTGTAGTGAAGAAAACCAGTTGTTTTTAATAACTATTGTGGATAATCTCATTTTATGCTATTATTAATCTATTGTAGATATCTACTGTAGATAATCTCATTTGAATTTACACATATTAAAATTAGTTTTTTAAAATAAGTATAAATTGTTAATTCTAATTTTTAATATTTAATTCAAATGATTGATATCTATCTCTACTTGTATATTATAAAGTTATTAGGCACAAAAAATAACCTTTACTAATTTTTTATTCTTATATCTGGTAACTATTTCACATATCTGCTCTTGTGTGATAAAACGCTTCAAAGTGAAGGACTTAAAACAATAATCTATTGTTAGCATATCCATGACTGTGGATTAGCGAGGTACATTAGTTTTTACCTCTCTCTCTCTGCCATACTGTCTTGCGTCTCAGTCGGCATAAACCAAATGGCCTTAACAATTTGATTGTTAAATCCATCTAGAATAATTGGAGACTATCTGAGGCTTTCATTTTCGTTCTCTTCCTTGTAAGACCAATTCACGTGAGTGGTTGGACTTCCTCACAGTATGGTGGCCTCAGAATAGTTGTAAATCTTACTCTGTGGCTCAGGGCTGATTCAAGATGAAGTAAGAAGGAATACATCCACTTAATTCTTGACATAAAATTGGTATAATATGGTTGGTGGCACGCTTTGTTGTTCAAAGCAATCTCAGACTAGCCCACATCCAGGGGAGGGGCATAAAATCTACCTCTCAATGTGATGAGGACCGAAGAATTTGTGACCATCTTTATTTAGCTGTATCCAATACATAGCAGTCTTATTATAAGCAGATTATTTCACACTATGGTTAGATTTTGTGATACTCAGCTTATTTTAAAATACTTAATTGTTCAAATTTGCTAATCACGTACAATATTATCTGACAAGTATATATTTTATTAAAATAGTTTGAGAATTTGAGAAATTTTAAATTTCTTTTGACACTAATAATCTATGAGTATGTGATTTGCTTACTAAAATGTTTCCTTTTAACAGACTTTATCTCTTAGATCAGTTTTAGGTTCTCAGTAAAATTGAGCATAGGTATGCAATTGTCTGTGTACCCCCTGCCACCACAGATACATAGCATCCCTCATTATCAACAGTCCTCAGTGGTGTGGTATGTTTTATTACAATTGATAAACCTAAATTGACTCATCATTATAATTGACTCATCATAATAAGTCTGTAGTTTATGTTATGATTCACTCTTGAGGTTGTGTGTTGTGCATTCTCTCGGTTTTGGCCAATTAGTAATGATGTGTATTCACCATTATAGTGTCATGCATAATAGTTTCACTGTCCTAAATATCCTCTGTGCTCTGCCTGTTCATTTGTCCCTTACCTCTTCTCCCTGGTAACCACTGATCTTCTCACCCTCTCCATAGTTTTGCCTTTTCCACTATGGCATATATTTGGAATATACAGGGTGTAGCCTTTTCAGACATTTTTTTAAGCTTAGAAGTATTTATTTAAGAACACTCCATGTCTTTTCATGGTTGACAGATCACTTCATTTTAGCATTAAACAATATCCCATTGGTTGGATGTACCACAGTTTATTTATCTATTCACCTACTGAAGGGAAACTTGGTTGCTGCCAAGTTTTGGCAATTATGAGTAAGGCTGCTATAAACATCCATGTGAACGTCTTTGTGTGGACATAAGCTTTCATTTCCTTTGGGTAAATTCCAAGAAGTATGATTGCTGGGTCACAATAGAAGAATATGTTTAGTTTTATAAGAAACTCTCAAACTGTCTTCCAGAATGGTTGCACCATTGTGGATTTGTACCAGCAATGAATGAGAGTTTCTGTTGCACTACATTCTCACCCTTCTGAATTGTGGTGGTGTCACTGTTCTGAATTTTGGCCATTCTTATAGGTATATACTTGTATTTTATTATTGTTTTAATTTTCATTTTCCTTATTACAGATGATGGGGAACACCTTTTTGTAAGTATGTTTTTTATCTGCAAATATTTGGTGAGATGTCTGTTAAGTTCTTTAGCTCACATTTTAAATGGATTATTTTCTTATTGTTGAGTCTTAAGAGTTCTTTGTATATTTTTGGTAAGTCCTCTAGCAGATGTTATTTTTGGACATGTGGCTTGTCTTCTCATTGCTTTGCATTAACTACACAGAGCAGAAGTTTTTAATTTTAATAAAGTCCAGCTTATTAATTAATTTTATGATGGATTGTACCTTTGTTGTTATATCTAAAAACTCATAACTATACTGGAAATCATCTAGGTTTTTTCCTATGTTATCTTCTAGGAATTTACTAATTTTGTGATTTATATTTATAGCAATGACCCATTTTGAGATAATTTGTATGAGATGTGTAATATCTGTGTTTATATTCATGTTTTTGCATGTAAATGTTTATTTGTTTTAGTATCTTTTTTTGAAAATACTTTGATCCATTGTATTGCCTTTGTTCCTTAGTCTAAGATTGGTTAACATTATCTATGTGGGTGTATTTCTGGGTTCTCTGTTCTATTCCATTGGATCTATCTGTCTGTTTTTTTTGTCATCAGTATCACATTGTATTGATTACTATTGCTTTAAGTTTTTTTGTTTTGTTTTGTTTTTTGTTTTTGTTTTTGTTTGTGTTTTTTGTTTTTTTGAGACGGAGTCTCGCTCGGTTGCCCAGGCTGGAGTGCCATGGTGCCATCTCGGCTCACTGCAAGCTCCGCCTCCCAGGTTCACACCATTTTCCTGGCTCAGCCTCCCAAGTAGCTGGGAGTACAGGCGCCCGCCACCACGCCAGGCTAATTTTTTGTATATTTAGTAGAGAGGGGGTTTCACCGTGTTAGCCAGGATGGTCTTGATCTCCTGACCTAGTGATCCACCCGCTTCAGCCTCCCAAAGTGCTGGGATTACAGGCTTGAGCCACTGCGCCCGGCCTATTTTAAGTTTTGAATTTGAGTAGTGTCAATCTTCCTACCTTGTTTTTCTTCTCAATATTGTGTCTAGTATTTTGGGCCTTTTGCTTCTACACATATATTTTAGAATCAGTCTGTCAATATCCACTAAATTACTTGTAAATTTATTGAGATCAATTTTAATCTATAGATCAAATTTTGAAGGACTTACATATAGACAATATTAAGTCTTCCTATCCATAAACTTAAAATAACTATATTTATTTAGTTCTTTTTGACTTCTTTCATCTGACTTTTGTAGCTTTTCTCCTGTAGATATTATACATGTTTTGTTTGGTGGACTTACAAGTATTTCATACTTGGGGTGCTAATTGAAATAGTATTATGTTTTGAATTTAAAATTCTACTTGTTCATTGGTGGCATATAGGAAAGAAATTAAGGTTTTTATATTAACCTTATATACTGCAACCTTGTATGTTTGCCAAGTAGTTCCAAGAGGATTTTTGTTGTTGTTGATTTATTTGGATTTTGCACATAGATACGGTGTCATCTGTGAACAGAGGGGGTTTTATTTCTTCCTTACCAATCTGTATACATTCTATGTTCTTTTTCTATCTTACTGCATTGACTAGTACTTCCAACACAATGTTGAAAAGGAGTGGTTAGATGGAACATTTTTGTTTCTTTCCTAATATTAATGAGAAAGCTAATAGTTTCTTACCATTAAGTGTGATGCTAGCTGAGCTGTAATTTATTTTGTAGGTATTCTTTACCAAGTTGAGGAAGCTTCCCTCTATTTCTAGTTTACTGAGACTTTTTATCATGAATGGCTGTTGGGTTTTGCCAAGTGCTTTTTTTGCATCTATTGATAAGATCATGTTATTTTCTACAATGTTATTTTATTACTGATTTGATAGATTACATTAGTTGATTTTTAAATATTGAACCAGGCTTGCATACCTGAAATAAATTTCACTTAATCAAAATATATAATTATTTTTGTGCATTGATGGATTTAATTTGCTAATATTTTGTTGGTGATTTTTGCATCTGTACTCATGAGAAATATTATTCTGTAATTTTCTTGTAATACCTTTTTCTGGTTTTGGTATTATAGTAATGCTAGTTGCATCAAATGACTTAGAAAGTATTCCCTCTGAATCTATCTTTTGATAGAGATTGTAGATAATGGCATGCATATATATCTATATCTATATCTATATATGTATGATAGTAAGGAAGAAATATAACTGTCTGTTCACAAATAACTTAGTCCTCTGTATGGAAAATCCAAGATATCTATTTAAAGATAGATAGATAGATGATAGATAGATAGATGATAGATAGATAGATAGATAGATAGAGATAGAGATATATAGATATATATAGATATAGATATTGATATAGATATATCTTAAATTCTTGGTAGAATTCATCAGTAAACTCCTCTACATCTGGTGCTTTATGTTTTGTAAAGTTATTAATTATTGATTCCATTTATTTTATAGATACAGGTCTATTCATATTGTCTATTTATTCTTAAATGAGTTTTGACAGTCTTCATTTCATCAAGGTTACCAGATTTGCAGTAATAGAGTTCACTGTATTCTATTATTATTACTTTAATGTCCATGGGATCTTTAGTAACGTCCTCTTTTTATTTCCGATTGAGTAATTTGTGTCCTCTCTTTTTTTTCCTT
The DNA here is from genome assembly GCF_000001405.40 of Homo sapiens. NCBI lineage: Eukaryota > Metazoa > Chordata > Mammalia > Primates > Hominidae > Homo > Homo sapiens. Next base: position 89,730,273 of record NC_000013.11, read on the forward strand.
CTAGAGATGCATCAATTTTACTGACTTTTTCAAAGATCCAACTTTTGTTTTTGTTGATCTTCCTATTGATTTTCTGTTTTTAATTTTATTAATTCCTGCTCTAATTTTTGTAATTTTTTCTTCTACTCACATTAAATTTAATTTGGTCTTCTTTTTCTCATTTCTGAAGAAGGAAGGAGAGATCATTCATGTCAGATCTTTACTCTCTTCTAACATACGCTTTCAGTATAAAATTACCCTCTAAGCACTGCTTTCACTTCATCCTACAAATTTTTGATAAGTTGTGTTTTTATTGCTATTTAGGTCAAATTATTAATATTTTCAAATTCTCTTGAGATTTCAGCCTTGACTTATGTGTTGTTTAGAAGTACTTTGTTTAATCTGTATGTATTTTGTGATTTTCCAGCTATTTTTCTGTTTTAATTTCTAGTTCAATTGCATTGTGAACTGAGGGCAAAAATTGTAAGATTTCTATTTTTAAAAATTTTATTAAGGTTTTTTAAAGGCCTGAAATATGGTTTATCTTGGTAAATGTTCCATGTGAGCTTGAGAAGGATGTATGTTATGCTGTTGTTGCCTAAAATATTTATATATGTCGATTATATCTATTTAATTATGTTGTTGTTTTGAAGTATATTTTTACAGACTTATTTCCTGCTGGATCTGTTCAAAGATAGAAAGATATTAAAGTCTCCAATTATAATATTGGATTCATCTATTTTTTCTGGCAGTTCTAATCACTTTTTGCGTAATATATTTTGATGGTCTATTGTTAGACAATACACCTTAAGGATTGTTATGTGTTCAGGAAGAACTGACTCCTTTATCATTATTTTGACCTTCTTTATGTCTGATAACATTCCTTGCTTTGAAATTACTCTGTCTGAAGTTAATATTACTAATCTCACTTTCTTTTGCTTAGTGTTAGCACGGTATATATTTCTTCATTAATTTATCTTTAACCTATTGGTGTCTTTATCTTTGAAGTGTTTCCTGTAGACAACATAGAGTTAGTTGAATCTGCTTTTTTTTGATCCAGTCTTAAAAATATCTATTTTTTAAGTAGTGCATTTAGACCATTGATATTTAAAGATATAGGTGGAATAATATCTAACAATTTTTTTTACTGTTTTCCATTTGTTTTTATTGTTCTTTGTTCCTTTTTGGTCTTCCACTCTTTGTCTGCCTTTTGTGGTTTAAAGTGACCATTTTATAACATTCCATTTTCTCTTCTTTTTTAATATATTAATTGTCTTCATTTCTTACTCAATTTTTTAGTGGTTGCCCTAGAATTTTTAATATACATCTATAAATAATTCAATGCACTCTCAGATAACACTATATCACTTCACATGTACTGCCAGTAATACTACAAATAACAAAGTAACAAAATAACCAAATGTTTATAATTTCTCTCTTCTGTCACCTGTATCATTGTTGATATTTTTATTTCACTGATACAAAAGCACAAACACACTCAGACACACACACACACACACACACACGCAGATAATTAATGCCATTGCTGAAAAAAAATCCAGGAAGCTCAGAGAACTTCAGGTATATACATATATATAATGTTATACATTTTAAAACATGTATGTAGGTACATAAAGTTGATTCATGAACAATAGGGTTTGAGTGACACTGACCCTCCATACAGTAGAATATTTGTAAATAACTTTTGACTGTTAAAATTTAACTACAAATTGTCTACTGTTGATTGGAATCCTTGCCAAAAACAAAAACCATGAATTAACATGTATTTTTGTGTGTTTTATGTATTATATGTTGTATTCTTACAACAAATTAAGGTAGACCAAAGGAAATGTTATTTAAAAATGTATAAGGATGATAAAATATATTTACTATTCATTAAATGGAAGTGGATTATCATAAAGGTCTTCATCCTTATTGTTTTCACACTGACGAGGCTTAGGGAGAAGAGGAAGAGAAGAGATTGTTCTTACTGTTTTACAGGTGGCAGAAGTGGAAGAAAATATGCATATAAATTGACCTGTGTTGTTCAGACTGATGCTGCATAAGATTAAACTATATACGCATATATATTTGAATGCATTGAGAACACTGAGCATATATATGTGTATATATGGATACATAATGAAACACATTCATTGCTTCTATTTTTTTAGAAAACTATCTGTTAGACCAATTAAGAATAAGGAAAACAAAAACTTTTATTTTATATTTAATCATTCCTTTTCAGGTGCTCTTTTATAAATGTTGATCTGAATTTTGGACACATTTTTTTTTCCTTCTCTCTAAGTACTTTCTTTTAACACTGCATGCAAGACAGATCAACTGGTAACAAATACTTTCATTCATTTTTTTTCTTTTTTTTGAGACGGGAGTCTCTCTTTATTGCCAGGCTGGAATGCAGTGGCATGATCTCGGCCCCCTGCAACCTCCACCTCCTGGGTTCAAGCGATTTTCCTGTCTTAGCCTCCCAAGTAGCTGGGACCACAGGCGCACACCACCATGCCCAGCTAATTTTTGTATTTTTAGTAGAGACGAGGTTTCACCATGTTGGCCAGGATTGGTCTCGATCTCTTGACCTCATGATCTGCCTGCCTCGGCCTCCCAAAGTGCTGGGATTACATGTCTGAAACAAATACTTTCAATTTTTGTTTGTCTTAGAAAGTCTTTATTTCTCCTTCAGTTTTGAAGAATAATTTCATAAAGTACTGAAATCTAGATTGGTGGATTTCTCTTGTTGTTGTTGCTGTTGTTGTTGTTCTCTGTTTCTCAATACTTTAAACATTCCACTTCACTGTTATCTTTCTTGTAATGTTTTTGTGTTTAATTTTTATCGTTACTTCTCTATAGGTATTTTTTTCTCCTGTAGCTTCTTTCAGGATTTTTGCTTCATCTTTCATTTTTTGTAATATCAAATTGATATGTTTATTTGTAGTTTTCTGGCATTTATCTAGCATGGTGTTCTTGGAGCTCACTGGATCTATCATTTGATATCTGGCATTAATTTTGGAAAATTCTCAGTAATTTTATTGCTTCAAATATTTCACCTGTTTTTTTTTTTCATTTTCCTTCTCCTTTTGGCATTCTAAATACAGGTGCTCCTTGGTTTTTAATAAAGTTATATCCCAATAATCCAATCTTAAGTTGAAAATATTGTAACTGAAAGGTATTTAATACACATAGCCCACAAAACATTATGGCTTAGCTTAAAATATACATGCTCAGAACACTTACATTAGTCTAGAGGTAGTCAAAAATCATCTAATACAAGGCATATTTTATAATAAAGTGTTGAGTATCTCATGTAACATATTGACTATTGTGCTGAAAGTAAAAACAGAGTGGGTGTATGGGTACTCAAAGCAAGAATTCCACTGAATGTGTATCGTATTTCCATCTTTGTAGTAAGAAAAATCACCACTCGAACAATTGTAAGTAGCAGATCATCTGTCTATATACATGTGGCACATCTTTTGTAGTCGTCCTATAGTTCTTAGATATGCTGGTGTTCTTTCTTTCTTTCTTCATTATGTTTCTATTTGTTCTTCCATCTTGGAGATTTATACTGATATCCTCAGGGCAGAGAGTCTTTCCTCAGCTGTATCCAGTCTGCTGATAAGCGCCCATCAAAGGCATTCTTCACTTCTATTACTGTGTTTTTAACCTCTAGTATGTATTTAAGCATTGACTCAAATTTCCATCTATCTGTTTACATTGTCCATGTGTTCACGTAGGCTGTCCACTTTATCAGTTAGAGACCTTAACTTAATCACAGTTGTATTAAATTCCCAGTCTGAGAATCCCAACATCCCTGCCAAATCTGCGACTGTTTTTTGACAGTTGCTCTATCTCTTCAAGTTATTATTACTTGTCTTTTACTATGTGTTGCAATATTTTATTGACAGCTGGAAATGATGTACTGCGTAAAAGGGATTAGTATAAATACGTTTTTATGAATATGGTGGTAAAATCTAGCTTGAAGGGAAGCATTCCATGGTTTCATGATTAAGTCTCAGTCCTTAGTGAGCCTGTGGCTCTGAATTGTGAACTTCATTTGTGTTTCTTTGTAGTATTTTTGTTTATTTTTTAACACCCTTGGGTGACACAGGATAATCACAGTTATTTTGAGTGGGATATTTCCCTTCCCACAAGTAAGTTAAGCTCTGTTAGAACCCCAGCAGGTTAGACTATGGTTAAATAGCTTCTCCTGAGAGCAGACCTTGTTAAGAACAGAATCCTCTGAAGTAGTTTTTAAAAGTTAATTTTCTCTGCCTCTGCCAAAGCATAAGTAGATTTTTCTCTGATGTTCACTGTGAGGACCTGGTAGAGTACCTGGTAGTAGTAAAATTCACTTAAGTGTGGCCTCCTTTTTCCTCATCCCCCATTGACTTGTGTCCCCCTGGAGTTTTCATCTTGCAGGTTTTGCTACGCTGGATCTTCAGCAATTTAGCAATTACAAGTTAAGTTTTCCTATCTCAGGACTGGTTCCTGTGGAGGTTGCTGCCTATGGGTTTCTGCTCCAGTAAGATCTGATTCTTTGTATTTGCCTGATGTTCTCTCAAATTCTGGTGGCAGCTGTTTGCCTATTATGTCACTTTGCTTACTGATTTAAGAAGAGTTGTTGATTTTTTAGTTTGCCACATTTTTTATTATTAGGATGGAGTGTTGATTTCCAAGCTTCTTAAATGCCAACTGAAAACTCCTAAAATGGTTTTTTTTAATCATCCCTGTGTCCTTTCCATTTCATGTTTATTTAAATAATAATATTCTGAAGAAAACAAGTACTGCTACTGACATTAAGTGTTAAGATATATAATACAATAATGTAGGAAGGTAAGATGGGACACGTTTTTAAGGATTAGTACTTTTACGGCACATTAACAGAGGTCTGTGGCGTAACTCCCTTATAATCTTCCCAAAATTAAATGACTGTGGATTCATAATAAGAAGAAAAATCCTTCATTACAATACAGAACTATAGGAAAAAAAATCACCAAAATGCCTGGAATGAAAAGAAATTTATCTTATTCAAAACACAAATAGATAAGATAAAATGATGGTATCATGGGTTGAACCACAGATCCATTCCTGTGGGACTGGCATATATTTCTGGAAATTCAGAAGGGAATATCCTGAAAAAAGTAGCTATAAACTGATAGTTTGGAAAGAATGAGGACTAGAATCTTAGCAAAAATATATTTCATAGAAAATATAATTAAAATTTATTTTATATTTGTCGATTATTTGATTTCAACATCAGCTCTGCTAGAGAGCCTTAAGTTCCAAGCAACAAATATACTAAGAATGGTTTAACATATCACATGCATATCGTTCACTGAATAACGCAAAAAAACTAATGTAGGCCCCAAAGCTTAAGGATGATTCAGTTGAAAAGACAATACATTAAACTGGTCATTGGAGAAGCAGGATTACCAAATATTCAAGAAATTGGTACACAGTGAAGTGGCCCTACTAGTATTGAATTTGTTTCAATGTACTTGTCTTGTCTTTGAAAACAACTTGATCTCTGAAATGATAGCACAAATATCCATTTATTCCTAGTGTATAGAGAATGGCAACTTATTGGGCAGAAGTAGAACAAAAGAAGTATCCATCTGCTTGTTAATAGATAATTAAGAGCTCCTATTAATTTTTACTCATTCAAGAACAGTGAAACAGAAAGACGGAATGCAATATATGTAGTGGATTCCTCAATAGAAATTATATTTTCCGAAAAAGGTGTACTTGGTCAGAAGGGGTAGATATTACAACAGTTTATGACCCTCCAAAGGGCCATGGTACATAGATATATTGTATAGCTGTGGAATGGAAATTTTATGGAGGGAGTGAATTAATAAAAAGAAATCAACAAAAGATCCTTAGAGGAATAAAAATGAGGAAAAAAGATTGGCAAACTACAGATTTAGATTCAAAACAAAGGAGAAATATTTTTTCTATTGAGAGTCAAATGAGTGTTGGGAATCACAGTTTCAGAATAAGAGTTTTTGTATATTTCCCAATTAAATTTGTCTAAAAATTAAGTTGTGCAGGATTTGGTTGATACAAATAAATCTGAAATCATTACACTCTGCGTGTTCCAGTTGGTCAGAGGTGGCTTTAGAAGCCCTGAACACGCAACGCAGCCTTCATTGGGTCCTGAGCCCTTATTGTGTTACAATCTACCTCTGTTCCCACTGAGCCCAACCCCACTGACATGGCCAAATTAACTTTAGTTCACAATAAAACCAATCAAGCTCTATCGATCTTTACCTGGTTTTCTTTTGCTCACTACTATCCTGAAGAATATAAAGAATCACAGCACTTGGGTATACACTGAATAAAAGCAGAAAACTGATCGTGGATTTCTTCCCCATTAGATTTTCAGCCTGAGAAAAGCTTGAGTTTGGAAGTTGACAAATTTTAAGTTGAATGAAAGTTCTTTGCAATGTTCCAGTTTGTTTTCTCTTTATTTACATGAGTCTGTACACAAACACTTAAAACCACTTATGTTTAAAACAATTTGGGGAATGTTTTGTGGCTACTATTAGGTCATTAACATAAGTTTTGAAACTCAATATAACTTATGAAATTTTTCAGGTTTGTGTAGCAATGCATAAGTCTATAACAATCTACCTTTTCTTATTATAGATTCATACTAGTTATAGTAGGAATGAATCATAAAGTACTTATTCTAATTAAAGTTTACATATTACTATTTTAAAAGGTATAATTCAGTAGTTTTTAATATATTCACTGATTTATGCAACCATTACCTCTTTCTAATTCTAGAACATTTTCGTCAACCCCAAATAAACACTATACTCATTAGCAGTCACTCTCCACTCCCACATAATCCTAGCCTCTGGAAACTACAAATCTCTATTATGTCATTCTATATTTGTCAATGAAGGCCATTTTATATGAATGGAATCATATAGTGTGTACATTTGAATTAGGCTTTTTTCACTTAGGACATCATCAAGTTGCAGTATGTGTCAGTAGTTCATTCCTAGTTATGGTAGAACAATATTCAATTGTTTTGAGCCAATATTCCATCTCACATAACTTATTTACTGGCACGCTCATGATTGTGTAAAAATATTATGCTATTCAATGTTTCATTATTTATTATAAATCATGGGAAACAACTTAAGTTTCTATCTAAAGAGAGCTGGAAGGGAATCACTCCTTGGACAGTGTGGTAAGCATCTTAAAAAAATTGATCCTCCATTTATGTGATAAGAACACTGAAAAAAATAGTCAAAATAAACTTTTTTCAAACTCTTTAAATGATAAAAGGCTTACAAAAATCTGAGGAGCATTTACTGAATGTAAAACACAAGGTTCTTGGCATTTTAACTTACATTATTCCTTTTACACTACCCCAGGTCTGTGGGAGCTTTGAAAACCAACAGGTAGCATGACAAACAGGAGAATGTGCAAACCATCAGCTTAATGACCACTGAAAAGTTCAAAGTGGATTTGAATTTTCCCCAAAGCACCACTCTAGATAGCTGTAACTATCTGAATAGGTGAAACAGAAAGTATATTTTTGATCTGTGAATCTATTCTGTATGGCACTATAATAGTGGATATATGACACTATACATTTGTCAAAGCCCACAGAATAATATGAAAAACAAGGTGAACTTTAATGTATGAAAAAATGTTAAGGAATAAATTATGAAGTTGGGGGATCCTAGGATGGAATTCCGACTGTCACAGAAGAATGTAATTATAATATGTGAGACAATTTCATGGAAGGGATAGGGAAAATGTTTTTGCCTATATTATTTTGAAAAAGAGTGGATATTATCAGACTAAACACAAAAGGATCAGTAAACAAGCAGAGTTTGTTTGGCAATGTTGTTATTCATGAGATTAAGCTAACAACGCTGAAGCCACTATAATTGAATACTGAAACTGAACAAGTAAGTAAGTGAATGGCAGAAGCTGACTCCTGGGAGCTAGATGTCTCACTGTTGGAATGAAAGGTTACAGACAGAGTCAAGGAGGCTAGAATAAACCATGTGATACCATGTTAAACACACACACACACTTTCAAGCTATGTTTGCTGAGAAGGTCTGCTGAGAAGCAGTGACACCTCAATAGCAATAAGCCGATCTTGTTTTTAAAAAACTATCACCCAATTAAAAAACGCAGGGATCCTTGACAAAAAGCAGACCCATGAATTGGCTAGGGAATATATAAGGTGAGCCTGGAGTAGTCTATGTGCCAGAGGGTAAGGATGTGCTCAAAAAGCACCATGGTGGAGACACTTCACAGGGACACAGGATCCAATTAAGAAACCTCCCAAGGGACAAAGCTGGAAGAATTTGAGCAACATAATGAATAAATATTGAATTACATATAAAAGAAATATCTATGGCTCCATTCTGGTGGAAGTTATTGAATAAGTTAGTAAATAAGGGAGACTAGAGAAAACACCCAATCAGAAGTATTTGAAAAAATTTATGTAGCTATCTCTACATTAAGAAGGTGGAACATAACTCTTCATTCCTTATGTGTATGGTGCACATGGCGAGTTTCTCCACAATAATATAGTTTGGAAAGCGTGGAAAATGAATAACTCCACAGTAAAGATCCTGATGAATACTATCTTAGTCAACATCAATAGTCATAAATCGCATTGATAGTATGTAGCCTTGACAGTAATGTAATGAGAAAGGTTCTTTAGCTCTGTATATTTCTTCCTCCTGAAAGCCTTCAACTCCAGTCTAGCAGGACTGGAGTCCTTCCAGTCTAGAAGGACATCAGTAAAACCTCAACTGAGAGGTTGTCTACAAAATATCTGACTAGTACTCCTTAAAACTGTCAAAGTCTTCCAAAACTAGGAAAGCCCGAGAAATTGTCACAATCAAAAGGATACTAAGTAGATACAATTATTAAAGGTAGTGTTTTATCCTGGAATGGGTCTTAAAACAGAGAAAAAGATACTAAGTTAAAAACTAAGGATATCTGTATAACATACGGACATTAGCTGATAATAATGCATCAATATTAATTTATTAGTTATTTCAAATGTATCATAGTAGTATCAAATCTTAAGATAGAAAAGTTGATGCATGCTATGGAGAAACTCTGTATAATGCTTGTAAGTTTCCTACAAACGGAAAACAATTTCAAAAGAAAAAAATGCATTTAAAATATCACAAAACACAAAGAAAAAAGAGATATAAATTATAAGGAAAATATAAAAATGATTAGATAATAAATACAGTGAAATAGGGATTTAAATAAAGATTTAAAATAAGAATATACAAAGGTGCAAATAGAGCAGGTGGAATTAATCACATAAAGAAGAAAAGAATAGTAACAAACACAAGACAGAGTTGTTTTGAAAGGTGGTGGGGTGGGGAATGTTTCTCTCTCACTTTACCACATTAAAGACATAAATCTGTTATCTTTGAGCTGTGAGGACTATACTGCCCACTGCACTGCAAATTGTATATACCATACTAGATTTTTCATTGTCTTTTCCATGAAATGAAGTTAAGAAAATTATTTTCCCTTTGCAGGTTGCTCACAGTTTTGTTTATGCATTTCCTTAAAATTAATTGTAGACTCCAGGACACAATAGTAGGCAATACAATTTTAGAATATAATATATAGAGGTATATTTAGCCTCTTTTAGAAGTCAGTGAATTGAATGTCTTTTTATTTCAAATTTTACATTCATTAAGGTGCCTCGTTTTTTACTTTGTCCATTAACATTTCTCCATATGACTTTGCAATAACTAGATTGTGAAAAGCTAACAAGTGTTGTAGCAACAATCCATTGTTTGAGTTGCTTGAAGTTGTCTTAAAGTGTTTTTTTTCCAAAAAAGAAAGAAATCTAACAAATACACATAGCCTACTGTCATTTTTGAATTTCCAGCATTAAGAAAAGTCTACATGCATTCAAACAAATAAAAAAACTCTGTGATGCCAGTAGTATATTTAGAGTTACAGAAAAAAATTGTAATTAGTACACTTTCAGCAAGTCAATATATTGTTTATACACAAAAATAACAAGAAAACACTTTTTTTCATGCAAAAACTCTGGCAGCATTCCAGAGGGAGTCTTCCGTATAATTTCTACATAATCAATCACAGTCATGATCATTTTACTATTATAGCTAATAATATTTGAACATTTATGATACACAAGTCATGTAATGCACCATTTTGTTTAAGCTGAACATTCAATTTTTATCATCTGTGTTTCATAGAAGAGTACAATGAGGCTCAGATAATTTAGTAACAAACACCAAATCATAAATGATTTAATTATTTATAGTGAACTGTATTTAATAATGCAGACATCTAGAAATAAATAAAAATTAAATATTTTTAAAAATTGAAATAATCTCCACAGATCTGTAATACATTATATTAGGATGTTGTTAACACCTGATGATATGATTTTGAAATATTGTGAACATATAAATAATTTAATATAGAGTTTTCTTTTAACTTTAGGGGACATAAATTTTCATTGCTAAAAGAAACATTTCACCATTTTTTTCTTCAAATTTCTGATTTTCTTTGTGTACATTAATGATTACTAAGGAATATAATCTATGTGGGGGCTTTTCTGGATGGACTGCATCCAAGTTCACATTCTATCTTATTTAATTGAGAATGCTGGAAGATTAGAGACTACTACATGCTGGAAGATTAGAGGCCACTATAGCCCAAACTCTCCTGAATCCAGAAACTTCACTTAAAACATTTCATGTACATTTTTGAGACTTGGAAGTGATGTCAGAGGCCACCTGTCTGGAGTGGCCACTGTTAAGGTGCCCGCTGCAGCGAGGAAGGCATGGCCGGGGGGCTACGCATGCAATGGAGCCGCCAGGAGCCTGGAAGAGGCAGGAACCCCGCTCCCTTATGCGTTGGTGGGGTGGGAGCCCTCCCCTCCCAGGTGTGGCTGCAGCCACCCAGCCGCAGCTCTGTACCCGGGCATCCCTACACTCTTGCTCCATGCATGGCTTACCCTTATCAGGCATGGGATCTTGGCGGGTAGGGTGTCTGCCGGGCCTAGTGTGCAGAAGGAGCCCAGCGGGTCCAAACAAATCTCAGGTAAAGGCGCCACTGGGCACAGAGGTTTCTGGCTGGTGAAATGACACTCGAAAGATCCTGTGACAGAAGCAAAAACGAGTCACAGATTATTATACTACAGTACTTGACTGCTAGCAGGCAGGGTGCTGCCAAGCAGGAGTATGGAAATATGAGCCATTCCTGGACAGTCTCCCACTCTCCATTTTTTTCTTCTGGGTGTGAGAGGTAGCCATGTCAAAAGCTATAATTTTTTTTCTTTTTTGCTTCTGGTTTACCCTAATGTAATTGGATTGAGTTGTAGTATTGCCCACTGTTGAATCACTTCTGTAATATTCTTGGAGACAAAATAGAGCCTGTTTTTCAGTCTTCCCATCTATTTTGTAAGCACCTTGTATTACATCCTCTCCTACCTGAAATTTTTAGACTGCTTTGTTTTGTTTCCCTAGTGGACAAATAGCATACATTCATTTTCATACTTCTGATTTAAATTAAAAATAAAAGTATGTGTCTTCACATACACAATAAAATCTTAAAATATTTATGGAACCTTGCCTGCTTAACATCTGTTGTGGAAGGCAGCACTCTAGAGCTGTACCCTTAGATTCCATCCATGCAGCGAAAAAGGATTCTGCTCTAGAGAGTCAGAAAGACTTGAGATCTTCTACTGAGCCTAGAGTTCTTGCTGGCATGTGAGGCCAGCCTGAATTCCACCTTCTGGTTCAGAGAAACAAAAGTGCTGAAAATTTTAGCAATGTTACTTATAATAATTGATTTTCTCAAAATATTTTTCATCTGGTGTCCTCCAAGCTCTCCAATATTTCATAATATTAAAGTTATTAGCAGGAAAAGTGTGACATGGCTTCTATCTTGCTGTAAAATTCATGAGTCTTTCAGTTATTTCTAGACTTCTGGAATAGACAGTGTTGCTCCAAGTGTTTATAAATAGTCCTAATAATATCTAGCATCTGCTCATGGGAGTATGTAAGAGTCGAGTGAGACGTGGAACTTTCTTCCCACCCCTCCCAAAATATTATAATTGTTGATGTTATAATAGTCCAGTATAGAAAGGCAGTGCATATTGTCTCAGGAACCTACAGAAACACATAGACTAGGGCCACTCTGCCCTCCTTACAAGTGTAAAATGCCTTACATCACAGGCTCATACATAGAAAAAGAAGATGATTTATGTAATTTTTTTTCACGTCACTCCACATTTTGCAAAAATTCTGTTTGAGGTTTAGGTTCTTGAATTTATCTTTTACAATCTAAATATCCGTTTTCTGTAATACTTCTTTTCTATATTTGATAATAAAAGAAAAAAATATCATTTAAGTTGTTCCAGATTAGCTCAATTGGTATTTTTTAGTCATAGAATCTGATAGTCTAAGCAACAATTCTGCAACTCTGAATATGTACTATATTTAAAATTAGGCATCTGAATAAACAGGTGTGAGCTAGTTCAAAGAAAAAAAACACCACTTTTTCTTCCTACTGTCATTAAACTCAAAAGTATATCACAAATTTACTTCTTTATGTATATCTTCCTAAGAAAATAACCACACTTATTTCATATGAATTGATGATGGTTTGAGTTAAGTTTATCATGAAGTATATTTTTATTCTGTATTTTAATGATAAAATCCCTTCAATTTATGGGAGAACATTTATTTGACATAGTGACTATGTCATTTAAATTATAGAATTTGCATCATGAATTATAAAGGGTTTGACTTTAGTATTTATAAAGAAACATCACTTGGAACTACCTTATTCAAGAGTCTTACTATAAACAATTGGTCAAATTTTATAATTTTGAAAAGAAATGCATGTTTCAAAATCAGTTAAAGGTTGAAACTTATCATTATATTTTATAATTTTTGCTCCAAGTGAGAAACTTCCCAAGATAGTCTTTGACATTGTATGACTGATGAAGCAAATTTTATCGTGCATGAAAAAGGAAGGTAAAATAGTCAATATATTTTATGATAGTATATATTTATCACATTGTTCTTGCAAAATACTATGTAAATATTTTCTATAATCTTCATTTTTTGTTAAACTGTAGTTATTTTTATGTTTTAGCTGTTATTTTATGATATACAATTTGAAGGAGTAATTTCAAACTTTTGCACAGAATTAATGATGTTAGGAAATACTTTTGTCATATGAAACTAGAGATAACCCAAAGAAATGATTAAAAAATACCATGAGTATAGAAATTACTACAAGCAGAAATAAATACATGCACACATACATACATACATATATCATATTCTGATATGTGTTGCTAAACTATTTTGTGCCTTATAAGTAGTTGGGAAATTACCAAAGCTGTATCATGTTTATTCATTGCCACTGGGCCATAACTAGTTTTTGATTTTTGATTTTTGTAAAAGCATTATTGTAATTACATATTACAATAATATGTAAATAAAAGTATTTACATATTATTTTTTGTAGCATTTTACTGCATTTCCCCCTCACACCTGTTTAATAAAAGGTAAAATAATGTATGTGGAAGTTAACAGTTTAACATGTTGCATATCAGCATAACATCAAACTGTGGTGTCTCAAATATAAATTTAAGGACACTTCACCTATGCCTGGGAATATTATTCAGTCTTCCATATAATGGTAGCAGCTACTCTGGAATTTCTCTAATGGAAGGGTATGGAGTTGGAATATGATTGTAAGGGGCAAGAGGACCAGGAAAGTCGTATGCATGAAAACATTATTTTAGTTTTGACTCTGCATGCTGGTGTGTCATGGTAGGTAGTGACAATGACTCCTCTTACGTGAATCCATGTTTGCATAGCAATTATAATGCATTTATTTACAGGATTTTTTTGGACAAATGAAGTATGGGTCTAATAGAGATGAGAAGTATGACAGTAAGGCTAATTTAAGCTTTTTTTTTTTTCCAACCCCATCAGGAGAACAAAAATTAACTAAATACCAAAACTAGCTATCTTTGAACAATGGGATGTTCCTAATCAGTTATTATTACAGGAACAAAGTGTATGATACCAGAATGGATATTCCCAAATAGAATGTGTCAAAATTCAACCTCAATATACATAGATTACATCACCTTTCAAGAAGTGATCTATAAAATGAACCTTCTCCACAAGCCAATCCAACAACTGGGTGGCTAGTTCACATTCTAAAACACTCCATATCTATTTATGCTGACTTTTAGAAGCTTTCCCATTTGTAACATTTCCTATACTCATTGAATATGATTTTTTTTTGCCCATCTTTTTACAACAGACTGATCTTTTCTAGGATTACTTTATTCAATTTTATTTTGAAGCATGTGGCAAATTTCAGACACTTCAGTTATACTTTATGTTGAATAAAAAAAGTATAAAAGAAGGAGAAAGAGAAAAAATAATAATTGATGCTATTAGTAATGCAAAAATAATGAATGCCTTTTTGCAGTTATTTAGATATTGTTTTATCACTGAATGTTTGTTATAATAAATATTAATTGTGAAAATTTAGAAATGTCAAAGTAATGTAAAAAGAAAATAAAGTGTGCTTTTATACACTCCACGTAAGAATACCAAATTTCAGAATGTACTTTTAAAAGAATATTACTCTTTATATTGCTATCCTAACCTGTTAATCTTTACAAAAATCAGACTACCCATTTCTGTGGATCATCTGTACCGTAGACTTAGGGAAGAAACAAACCAGAAGACAGACATATACTAAGGAACCAATATAAAAACCTTAAGTTTTTGGCTTGAGGTAATTAAATCTTAAAAAACAAAGTATTATTGCTATTCTTGAATAATTTTCCATGACCAGTCTTCCAGTTAATCTTTCACTTTGTTCCTGCAGGCCTCAGGCACACAATCTGTTTTCCCTCCTCACTAGCTCCCAACACATACTTCTCCCACCTGGCTTCCTTTTTTGCTCAAGCCTGCAGCGTACTAGGATGCTGTGTCTTCAACTTTTCTGAATTTTATCAGTTCATAAATATAACACAAAGACAATTTTAATTTAAACCAGTTTCCTATTAATTTCCAAGAGGAGATAAAAAAGAGAAACAAAAATAAACCAATTTAAAATATAAGAAACATAGAAGGAAAATGTAAATTTTCCAATATCTAAAAAACTCTCATTTTTTTTTTGTATAGACTCTAGTCCCTGCCTCACTTTTATAGACAGTATCCTAAATGCTTCGAAGACCTCTTAATGCCATTCTGTTATTCCTAAGGTTAGAAATTCTTCCTTCCTTGCCAGTACCAGGGAAAACAGAATTCTAGTTTTCCTCCCTCCCTCCTTACAGATTGTTTTCAATCAATCACTAATTGTTATTTTTTTATTCAATTAAACACTAGTCTAGGCACTCTTGTGAAGTGGCTTTGAAGATGAATGAATGAGGATATTAATCAGCTTACAATAAATTAGGAAGTTTATTGCATATTATCTGAATGGACTCGCTGTACTCACAAGTGCCTTTAAAAACAGTTAACAATAATGCATTATATAGATTCAAATAGCAAGAAGAATATTGAATATTCCCAACACACACAAAAAAAGATAAATGTTTGAGATGATGGATATGCTCATTACCCTGATCTGATCACTATACATTATAGACATGAAAACATTACAATGTACCCCATGAATATGTACAATTATTTGCCAATTTAAACATTAAATTTTATTTTAAAAAAGAAGAAAAGAAAAATGGAAGAGTCAGTTCATAATTTAACTGAAGAAGAGTCAGGAGACATAATATGGAAGGGAAAGCACTGTTGCTGGTACAGTGGACCATGTAGAGAGCTTGAGAAAAAGAGAAAGGTAGCCTCTGTGAACAAGGACCAGTCCCAACTGGAGGCAGGAACTTCAGTCCTGTAGCTGCAAATAATTGAATCTAGTCAACAAACTGAAGGAGACTAGGGACAGAATATCTTCAGAGCCTTCAGTGGCTTCACAAAGCCACTTAGATCCTGGCTTTGTGAAATATAAAGCAAAGACATCATTTGAGTCATCCTAGACTTCTGGACTGCAGAAAAATGAGATAATAAACTTGTGTTATTTTAAGCTACTACATTTGTGAATTTTTATGGCAGCATGGAAATCTAATACAAGTACAAAAGCCCAAATCTTAATTTTCTGCAAACTATTTGTCAACCTAAAAGACAGAGAGAGGCTCTGTAAAAGGAAATGGCATTTATTCTGGAATAGGGCATTACAATGGGAATACACATGCCATAGTAAACTATGTGTAAATTCAGGAAGGTAAAGGAAGACAAAGACTTTTAAAGAAATAAATGAGAAGGATTGCATCGTTGTTCTGAGATAATTACACTTGGCTACAAGGATCACTAATCCCTAGAGAGAGAGAGTGCTGGGGAAAATGCCAGACATGTGTCAAGCAACCAGATCACATGAGAACTCCCTCACTATCTTGAGAACAGCAGAGGCCCCATGATCCAATTACCTCCCACCAAGTCCCTGCCTTGACACCTGGGGATTACAATTAAAGATGAGATTTGGGTGGGAACACAAACCCAAACTGTATCAGCTGTAATGACATTTGTTCAACGTTGTAGTTTTTGCAGGGTCTTTTTGCAATAGTCTTGTTATCAGATACATGCATGAGAACCATCTCTTCATGGGCTTCCCTGGCTCTCTCTGTCAGATTTGTTTTTTTAATTTTTTTTTTTCCTGCAAGTGATTCCATTTTAATTTAGATGACTTTCAGATATTTTGTCCTCTCGGCCATGCCTTCTTAAGTATTATAGACCTACATACACACAGAGTGGACTAACATTTAATTAAATGTCTGTAGGTTCAACTACAATTTTCCATTCATTTAGAAAGATAAAAAGCTACAGGCAAACATTGTAGAATTGTCTGGACAGCAGATGCACAAGAATATGACAAACTAGTTGCAGAAGAACAATTAATTCAGTACTGTACATGATTTTGGGGTTTGTGTGTGTATATGTGTGTAAATTGGAAAGGAAAACTTAAAAGACAAAGACTAGATTCTGAAAGGCCTCAATATTGTATCCAACCAATTGAGCATGTATTTGTCACGTACTGTGCCAGCTCCTGGAAATTCAATAGTGAGCAAAGGAGGCATGCTTTCTGTGTTGTGGAGAATCCAGTCCCGTACGGAACCCAAAATTTAATCACACCATCACTCTAGTAAATATGATTACAGCCTATGCAGTCTAGGCAGGGCCTTGCCCATCTATTGCAGGTTTTACCCTACAGAAAACAGAAAACTCTTGCATGGTCCAACTTCAGATTTTTAGATTTTCTGTTGGGAACAGAGGCGATTTATCAGATTATGTTTTATAAAAATTACTCTGATGGCTGTAGTATTGAGTAACTGAAAAAGGGTAAGTGTGATGGCAGGAAGACTGCTACAACTATTATGGTTAATATGTAAGAGAAGAAAACATTAGGAATAAAACTCAGGGAGAATTAAAATAATAGGTGAATTTGGTAATTAGGAGGAAAATAAGAAGCAATTTAGAATCTAAGTGGATGTGAGGATAAAAGAAATATATAGAATGATTATTAGGCATTTATTGAGCAAGTTGCTCCCATTAACTTAGATATATGCAAGGAGGAGCCATAAGAATATTAAAATTAAGTACTTAAATTGGTCTAATTCAAATTTCCAAGGGGCATGAAAATAGTGATATTTAATAGTCAGATGTGGTAAGCTAAATAATGACCTTCCAAAAATGTCTCTGGCCTAATTCCAGAAACAAGTGAAAATTAGCTTATGCAAAAAAGGGAACTTGGAGATGGGGTTATTTAAAGATCTTGATGAAGAGATTTTTCTGGATTGTTTCAACGGTTCTGATGTAATCACAGGCGTCTTTATAGGAGGAGGTCAGAGTTAGCTGTCAAAGATGTGACAACAAAGACGGGAGGTTGATGTGACACTAGAAGAAGTGATAAGTCAGAGAATGCAGACAACTTCTAGAGCCTGAAAAAGCAAGAGAACCAATTATCCCTTAAGAGCCCCCAGAAGGAACTAGCTCTGCTCACACCTTTACTTTAGCTCAGTGAGACTGATTTTTGACTTCTGACCTCTAGAAATGTAAGGTAATACATTTTAAACCGCCAAGTTTGTGGGAATTTGCTATAGCAGCAATAAGACACTGGTAGAGATGTCTGTGTACCTGTGAACTTGAGACTAGATCTGCTCCCCTCTGTGGCTAACTCCTGTCTCAGTATGCCAGCAGCTCCGTCAACAAATCCTATCACACATTTGATGATACAGATTAAGATACGAAATGATGTGCTGCCAAAGCATCTAATTTTAAAGTAATAAATATTATCTCAGATCCTTCTCCCACTTAATATCCTCTCTCTAGGGGAAAACATACTTGAAATCAGCAGCTTTTGCATTTGTCCATAAAACTGAACTTCATCAAAAAGATTATGCTAGGATAATGGGCAGAAGTGGGGCTACCATGAAGGATAGAAAAATATAGTGCCTTCAAGGACAACAAAGGTAAGAGACTGTAGATTCCAACAGACTTGGAAATTGTCCAAGAATGCTGGAAGCATTCACAGCATTCCCTGCAGTGTATGGAAAGGGAACAATTGCCCACAGGGAAAGACTGTGTGATATCTCTATGGAGGCAGAGCTCTAGTGCCAGAACTTTTGGGGCTTGGCAATGTCTCAACCTCTGTATGTATTAGGTTGGTGCAAAAATTATTGTGGCTTTCGCCATTACTTTTAAATGGCAAAAACCACAATTTCTTTCGCACCAACTAATAGCATAAATAGGAGACTTCAAGGGTCCACGTGGGTTAGGGAAAATAAGGTGTTGCTTAAAATTGGCCAGGGGCTTAATATCCTTCTTCACTTTCCTGGGAATCGTAAACTTCCCAGATTCTTGTGCAATGAGAGGAATGGTATACAAATCACAGGAATAGGTGGGGTATATTAGCCCATTATCCATTTGAGATAAGTACTTGAAACTGGGTTTTTGATAGTTTTTAAATATTTAAAATGTAATAATTCTTCCATACATCTTCTTGTGAAATAAGGTTTTCCACATACAGAAATGAAAGAATCTATAAATTATTAAAATTAATAGAAAAGGTCAGCATATTGAATAGACATAACTACATAAATTCATTGATTTACTACATAGAAGCAATAAAGCAGCTTATTTTTAAAATTACATGCAAAATTGTTACTTAAATAGAATTTACAATCGATGCACACCCAAAAATATTGAAGGCATGTAGAAATGAGTTTTATAAACAATGAATAGTTATTTCTGGAGAGAAATATAAAATGTATTAATTTTTAAGGAAATTTGGTGAAGATTCTAAACATGCTATGGAATTTGAAATATGTAGGGAAGTACCCAGAGCCAAGAAGGGACAATGCATGTTTCTGAAAATGATCAACATGAGGAAACGTGCCCTACAGATATCAAGATTAACTGTGAAGCTATAAAATAATACAGTTTGATATATAATTTTGTATTTATTTACAGTGGAAAAAAAGAGAAAAAAAGAACATTTTTCAATGTAAGATAATATTTTATGCCCTTGGGATAGGAAAGTATTTTTTAAATAGGATCCAAAAGTGAAACCACAAAGAAAAGATGAATAGATTTGACTTTGTTAATATGAAGAACTTACATCCTTAAAGAGAGGCTGAAAGTTCAGCCCCAAACTGGGCAACAATAATTACAACATGCATAACTAAAACATAATTCACATACATTAACAATTCTGACAAAACAGTAAGGGAACAACTATGTCAATAAAAGTGTGTTAAAGAAAATGTATAACCCACAGAAGAGGAAACATGAATGACTAATACACATGTGAAGGTATGCTTTAATTCATCAGTAAGAAGAAAAATGTAAATATAGCTACAAAGAAACACAATTATACACTGAAAAGATTGGCCAAAATTAAAGTGAGACAACCTCTACTATTGGGATGGACAAATAGAACCTGGTCCTCTGATGCATTTCTGGTAGAAATATTAACATTTATTTGAAAACAATTTTCCATTATTTATGATATTCCCTTAACTTTGTTGTGTATAGTTTTTATATTTAAGGTGTCTTTCAAGTGATTCACTTTTAATAAGCTGCATTTAAAAATTTCTTAGTATTACCTATAATAATGGTCTGTCTTACAATCGATGGCATCTTAAGACTTAATGACACATGGGAATACATTTGAAAAAATGTGACTCTTGCATCACAGAATTTCTGCTTCCAGTTTCACAGCCTAAAGTTACATTCTTACATGTGTTCACATTTTCCTAGCTACACTGGTCATATCAATACAAATGTAAACAGAATAAGATAAATACTAGCATGACTTGGAAGTAATAAAAAGCTGAGTTTTAAGAACGACAGACATCCTCTGTGAAAAAAATCGATGGATATTATTCCTCCATTGTAGTGGAACTTTTATCTTTTACATCTTCATGGCATTAACCAACAAATATGTTATATTGTCCTGTGTAGACAGTTATTAAATGGGTGCCTAGACTGGTAAAGATCTATACTTATACCTAGTCTCTTAATAAATCACTGTCAACCTCACAAGGATATAATAAATGCAATTTGTAAGGGAGAAATACACAGATGATGAAACAATTGAAAAAGCAATATCTTAATTTCTTTCAGAATGTAAGATAAACTATGCTACTAAATCTAGATAAAGAAAGAGAGAAAATGTGAGTAGACTGATTTGATACAAAATGAATGGATACATAAGAACTATTGAAACTGTGCTTTATGGAGTTGCATGCCCAAGGTGCATTTTCTCAGACCACTCAAGAAGATGCAGAGTGTGGTGGATGGGACACAGCCCTTCTTCAGCCACAGCAGTTCTTTTTCTATTGTATTTTCATCACTGGAATAAAGGTTTTTCATTTGAGTTGCAATTTGAGTGGCCACTTACCTAATTCTCTGTAAGATATTTTGTTAAAAATAAAATACAAATGAAATGTTTTCCCTTCAGACTTCTGTTGAATGTATTTTGATAGGGATTCTTTCTATTCTAAGGGTCAGATTAATGTCATTAAACCTGACTGAAGCTAAAAGAGAATTCATTGTCTCAATTGAAAATGTTTAGCAGTTTGTCAGGCTTCAGGTGCAGGACATTCTTTTTTTTTTTTTTTTTTCCTTATGCATCAGGAACCCGTACAAGCTATGGCTCCACTCTTTTCTTGTCTGTATGCTGACTTCCATCTCAGACAGGCTTCTTTTTTTTTTTTTATGGTGACCTCAAGACAACTGCATTAGTTGCAGATCTCACAGCCCCTTACTTCTCATTCAATGGAGAAGAGAAAGCTCAGAATACTAAATAGTTTTTAAAAAGTCAATCAATCAGCTTAGGCCTAATTTTCATGCCATGATTCAGCCTGGTGTTCCCAGGAATTTCTAGCTCAAGGAGAATACAATTACGCTAACACGTTAAGCTGTCAGGGCCCACTGAAAGGAGAGTAGGCCTTATGCTCCACCAAGAAAATCACGTATAATATCAGAAACAGTTACTCAATTTTCAGGGCCCAGTGAAAAATGAGAGCACAGGATCCTTTGTTAAAAAGAAAATCTAATGATCTTTAGACGTGCTTAAATCAAGCATGGAACTCTTACAAGTATGGGGCCTTGTTGTACTGCACAGGCTGTATTCCCATGAAGTCCTCACTGTGTACTTTCTAACCAGAAGAAGAGTGAATACATTCTGGATGGCAAAAATGGCATATGTGCAATATGTAAATTACATGCAAGATTTTATTCACCCTTTACCATTTTAGTTCCAGCTGGTATTTGGGGTTTTGGAAAAGTCCAAAACTAAAAAAAACAAAACAAAACAAAACAAAAAACTTAATAATAATAAAAACCATGAAACATACATTATTTTCTTTTATACACTTTATGCCTTTTTTTTACATCTGTATCTTAACTTCCATTTTTTGTCTCCATCATCCTCACTTGTATATACCAATATCTCTTATTCTACAAGAAAAAAGAAAAATTCTCAAGTGAGCAGAATCTCCTTCTCTCACATTAATGCAGATGTGCTGACCTCGTTCATTCAATCCTTAATTATATTTATCTCCTCTGTTTTCCTGGAGCACTTCATAAGTCTCTCACTTTTCCAGTGACTTCTCAGTTTTCATTATTTCTGAATCTAACTATGATACACTTATAGTATGCAAATCAATGCCTTGCAACTAGCAGGGCCCAATAAATATTTGATGAGTAAATGAGTATCATTATTTACTTTACTGTTATGCTTATTTGCATTCCTGGCTCTGACTGAATTCCACAATTTAATTAGGTAATATATGTTAAAGCCCACATGTAATTCTTGCTACTAGTCCATTCTCAGAACAAAATGTAATATGATTTGAATTTGTATGATTACATCATTTGAATAAATGATTCAAATTTTTATATCTCAGAGAAATCTGCTTTGGGCTGCTTAATCTCCAACTTTGCCATGAGTACAGAAGGCATGTTATACATAATATTTTGTCTTAAATAAATCATGCTTCAATAAACATAATTATAATCTGTGATTTTCTAAATGAAGAAATCATCTCAAAGTAGTATTTTTTTCTTTTTCTTTTTAATTTAATTTTATTTTATTGTTATTATACTTTAAGTTTTAGGGTACATGTGCACAATGTGCAGGTTTGTTACATATGTGTGAGAGAGAGAGAGAGAGAGAGATATTTGCCTTGTGTTATCTTAATTATGTTCCAAGCCCCATTATATTTTAATTTAGGAAAGCGTTATACAAACATGAAAAAGACTTGCTTGCTGGAAGACTTTATAATTATGTTTCATATACCAGGTTGTCATGACTAATTACTCACTTTTTTACCTTAAAATGAAAACCAAGTTAGTGACGCTCCATATTCTTAAACAAAATGATATTAGCACAACATTATTTTTTGCTTAAAGACCTTACTAGAGTACAAACATGTTTGCATACCTTATCTGTAATTGCAAATGTTGCTGTAGCAGGAAAGCTATTAACGTTGTGTGGTGAACATGAAAAAAATGCTCTCATTGAAAGAAAAAATATTAGGCAGATTATTTCATTATTAGCTTGATTGGTTTTTAATCTGGTCATCAGCCTTCTGCCTCATGCTTACAATAATTTGCATTCTTCTAGTAAACTTTAGCTGAAATGACCAAAAAAGTCAACATATTTTCCAAGCAGTAAGTCTACTAATAGAAAAAATCAGTTTTCAAGATCAGGTTTTATGTTGTTTGAATGTAATTCTGCCTTAAAAATATATTATTTTGTAATGATTAGTGTCACTTTGTATGGCCATTCATGTAAATAGTATATCTCTTACTACTAATTTTTTTATTCTAATAAGAAAAAAATTCATAACACTTTCAGGAAAATCAATTATAAAATCTACTTTATACTAAATAACATTTTCTTTCATGTTTACTGATATTTATATACTTATATATGTTCATTTACATGTATATTATTTATATGTATCCATCTATTTATACTAACAGAAAATCTCTATGTAATGAGATTACATAGATATGTATGCAAATAGATACATAGAGTGAGAACAAACAGGATGTTATCACAACATCTACACCAGTGAGACGCTACAATTAAGAGACCACTGAATATATCTACATGCTGAAACTTTCAAACACAAACTGGTTAATTTTGTGAATATAAGGTTGCTTAATGGCTTAAATATTGAGACTGTAGCTTAGTAAAAAATGCAGCAATAAACTTGATGAAAAGTTGAAACTAATTTAGGTGTTCCCAAGGTTACACATGCTTTATATTTTGTAGAAAAATATTATTTGACTGTATTACAAAATAATCCATATGCTTATACTTTAGGACAAGAAAGAATGAAAAGAAAATTGAAGCAACTGTCAAAATGTCTATGGAGGAAAAGAGGATTTGGTGACCCAAATTATCAAGCTTGTCATGAACATTAATTTAATAAGTCTGTAATCACACAATGATATTCAAATGGAAAATTGAGGAATTATTTAATCAATTTTATCAATCTGGATAATCCAAGCTCAAATCCTTTTTGATCCTCAATAGCCTGGGAAGATTTTAGGCATTTGTATTTTTCATATAATTGCCCTAATTCTCTCTTTAACTTTTTCTTCATATTCAAAGCTAAACTCATCCTGCATTTAAATTTGCTCTTTCTATGTATGGAACAAAGTGTTCTGACATGGAATAAGTAGTAAAGTTAATACTCATAAAGCATTAATGAAAATAAATTATAGGAACACAAAGGGATTTACACATATATTTCTTTTGCAATTATGGTGAGATAAATATTTTTTCTTTTTGAAAAAATATATGTATTCTCCCATAAAACTTACCTTATTCAGCACTTACTTTAGTAGACAATCAGTAACTACATTTTCTCACACAAATTTGATAAATGTAGTGTGTGTGTATGTGTGTGTGAGTGTGTTTAACTGGGAAAGTTAGTACATCACAATAACAATAACAATAAAACACTGTGTGAAGGTATACATATTTATGGTACATTTCAAAAAACCATTTTGTTCCTTCCTTTGAGGAAACAGAAAATTCTAAGAAAATCAGTTAAATATAGTATACTTGCTACGCTAATTGTCTTACATAAAAAGAGATGTATTAAGATGTTATACATGTGGTATGCCATCTGTTTCTGTTTTTGTTGTATTCATCACATGCATCTGTCCTAATTCAGCTATAAGGAAATACTTAAATATAATTTACACATCAAAGCTATTGCAAAAAATCAATTTTATGCATGTGAAACCCTCCTTTTTCTGAAATGTGTCCTAAGTTCAAAGATCAACACAGTTTCAAATTAAGCCTCGCTCTTCAAAATGAAATTTTTCAAAAATTTGGCTGGATAATAGGGATCTGAATCACTCAAATGTGTAAAAGTTGTTTCAAAAGTTATAGAGGCCATCATTTGTATGGTTCATCTATTTCAGAGAACTATGAAAACTGATCTTAGAAAGTTGAACTAAAAAATTTTGTTGTATTTCACTATGTTCATGTCATCTAAACTATAAATGTTTTAAAATAAAATATATACAGCTATAGAAAAAGATTATTTTATAACATATGCTTAGTGATGATCATCCTAATATTACGTCTTGCATTAAAAATATTTTGTCTTGAATTAAAAGTATACATTTAAGTCTTTATTAAAGGGAATAAAATGTATATTCTGAAAACAATCAAATGAACTTACCTATATATCAACTGAATAAAATAATGGTATGGAAGAAAAGAATATGAATACAAGTAGGTTTTGAATATAATACTTTGACTATGTACTCTTTGGCTAAAGACAAATACAACTATAAATCAATATTGAATTCTAATTAGTTGGTTCGTGTTATTAGTTCAGCAATGATGTGACTGTGAATACTACAGTACTAGTGAGTGAGGAAGAAGTTAGTGGCTGGTTAGACAAATAGAGAGGGAATGTCTCAGGAGAAGGATAGTGAAGGTCATGTTCACTGGAATAACCAAAGGACAGTACCTATACTGTCTCTGCATCAAACAGGAAGAAATGTGGTGAAGAACTTCCTCTTATGCCAGGATATTGCTCAGAAGGGACTGTCCCAACTTGGGTGCAGTTGCAATAAATTAACCTAAATGTCCTTAACTTGACCCAGCTCATTATAATGTCATTAACATGACATTAGCATTGTGGTTTTAGCCCTGCCTTGAGTTTCACTTAGGCACTCCTGGGTAATAACTGAGATGGAGTCACTCTGTCCAACAGCAGGCATGCACAGATGCAACACCCCTAGGACAGAACATTACCTCTCCCGTTAGGGCAAAACCCAAAGAAGACTTCCTGGCTTCTGCCACATAAAAGATACAGAACGCAGTCCTGTTTCTGACAACCTTCTTTCAGGACCCCTCTCTGCTGAGAGCTTTCATTTTGCTTAATAAATCCTACCCTACTCTACTCACTCTCTAGTGGCTACTTGCCTTATTCTTCTTGGTCATGGGACAAGAACTCAGACCTAGTTGAACTAGGGACTAAACAGACTGCAACACTAACAAGTGAGTAAACATTTGAAGTTTTAACAGTGTGAGAAGAAAGAGACAAAAAGAAAAGGCAAAGAATAACTTTGGAGTATAAATTAAAAATTTGGAGGCATCAATATAAACTCATTCTTGATGTACATGCACATATACATTCATATGTATATATGCATATAATTTTAGCTATTTCTGTAGCAGTAAGTACAATAATTCAATATATTGGCTTCCAGAAGGTCACTAAATGAAATTAGTGCTCCTTAGAGTAATGGTTGATTGTAGGGCTGGTAAAGGGATAGTTTTGAATGAGCCTTAAAATTCTTATGCCTGCAAAATAAGGAAATGTGCTAATAATTCTGAGATCATGACAAAAAGACACAGAAGGAAACTTAAGGGAACATTCACTGCAAATTTACAACAATTTTGAGCACTTAAACAAATAATGAAAGTCATACTTTATAATACATTAAATAAAATTAAATAAAACTATCATAAATGAATAGAAAAGGCCAACTAACAAATATTAAATAATGATAAAATTATAAAAGTGAAAGTTACAACAATTTTTCTAAGAATTCAGGCAAGTTTTGCTAATGAATGCTAAAACTACTGGTTCATAAATTTGATAACAAACAGGATAATTGTATTAGTGAAATTATTTTTTATTAAAAAGGATGAAAATGAAATGTGGAAAAACTCACAGATATTACCTCATTCAAGAGCTCAAAATTTATCAGCAATATTGAAACTGTAATCATATACCTTGGAATGTGATGCACTGCAGAGAACAAAGAATTCTGTTTTGTAGTGTCCCTGCTAAATAACATGAATTTAATAATGCAGACACATTTAAAACTCAAATTAAGTTTCCATGAAACAACTGGCTTACACTTTTCAAAGGAAAAATATTAAGACAAACAAAGAAAGGCTGTCAAACTTTTCTGGATTAAAGGAAACTAAAGAGCATGACTCAGTGTGATTGATAATATTGGAGAAATTTCTACAAATGTCATTGTCAGGACCTGAAAACCACATCAAAACTATGCAAAGAAGTAATGAGTATTAGGGGATGCATCACAAATGCCACACATTTTATGAAACTGGAGACATTTGGAATTGTGTAGAAATAAATCAAATGAGAGGAATGGTAAGTAATTTATTGACTGGGAGAACTTAAAACATACAAGAGTGCAGAAAGGTAGAACAAAGAGAAGCAAGGCGATTTACCTTGAGGAACTTACCATTTTTCAGGAATTAAATATACCAAGTATCATAGTACGTAGCTGAGATATGGTGTGTGAAAATATCCAATTGTTTGTAAGTCTTTTAAATGCCTTTGGTTATGCAGCATTGGCCCATAGAATACTTGGAATATAGTTTCTAGAGAAACAAAACAAGACTGTTCCTAGACTCACAAACCCAAAGGACCAATGCAGGTGGTACAGGGAGCACTAATTTAAATCTGCAGGATGAAGAGAATGTCCACATACTGTATATTGAGGACACTAAATCCACCTTTCCCTGCCTTACATCTAAAACTCTCCCTCCCAAGTAGATGAGAAGACACTAGATATATTTCGAAATTCCCAAGGAAAACTGACTGATTACCTGATTATCTAGGGGAAAGTAAATCAATGTAATGTCATTCTAATTCTAATCTTTAATTGTTAAGGCTACAGGTTAATAAACCATCGATCTCAAGGAGCCAGATTTTTTGTTTCATTTTTCTCTATTGTTTTTGCATTTTCTATTTGAATTCTGCTTTAGTCGTTATTATTTTTATTTTCAATTTGTGCTTAATTTGCTTTTTAAAATCTAGTATCTTAAGGTGGAAGCTTAGGCCATTATTTGAGAACTTTCTTTTGTTATTATGTGAATATCTACTGGTATACATTTCCAACGAAGTATTACTTTTGAGATATCCCGTGAATAATTTTTAATTTTCATGTTAACTTATTCTTTGACCACATTATTTATATAGGTACTATTTAGTTTTCATATATTTCAAGATTTCTCCAGATTTCTTTATGTTATTGATTTCTAATTTGATTCTCTTATGGTCAGATAACATTTTGTTTAGCTCAAAATCCTTGAAATTTATCGGAATATGTTATTGTCCTTTAATACGGTATACCTTGATAAATGTTTCATAAGCACTTTACAAACAATGCACATTTAGCTGCTATTGGGAAGACAGAAAGTATTGTTAAAATCTTTTATATTGTGTCTGTCTACTTTTTCTGTTATTTACTAAGAAGAGGTGTTGTATTTCTTGACTATAACAATAGATTTTTTCTTTTCAGTTCTGTCAGTTTTTACTTCGTGTATATTTTAAACTTTTTATTAAGTAAATAAAAGTTCATGATTCTTTTTCCTTCTTGATGAATTCACTGAATTTTTGTTGTAAATTAACCCTCTTTATCCCTAATTATATTTTTCTTCTCTAAAACCTACTTCCACTGATAATATAGACTCAACAGATTCCTTTAACTAGTGATAGCATGGTATTTTTCTTAATCATTTAATTTTAAACTTGTATTTATATTAAAATGCAATTTGTGTAGGCATTGTATAGTTGGGTATTGCCTTTTCATCCGTTATGGCAGTCTCTGCCTTATAATTTAAGTGGCTAAAGCATTTACACATAATATAACTTTAGATAAAGTTAGCTTTAGTCTATTGTCTTACCATCTATTTTTCATTTGGTTCATTTTTCCTTTTTCTTGGTATTTTAGTGATTGCTTAGGATCTAGAGAATATATTTTAAATTTATTACAGTTTGTTAGGTGACATTATACAAATTCACATATCGTGTAAAAATCTTGTAATAGTATACTTTCATTTTTTCTCTCCTGAGCTTGTTGCTTTTGTTGTCATATTTTAAGTATTAATACACTTACATGCATAATATGTTGTACTTGTTTGAAAGGCAGCCATGTTTCAAAGAGATTATATAATAAGAAAATTAACTTTTAAAATTACAATGTACTTGAAAACTTCTAGTGTTCTTTCTTTAACACTTCTTATAATGCAGGTCTACTGTTAATAATTTTATCTTACCTTTTGTGAGTCTGAAAATATCTTCATTGTGACTTAATTTTCGAAAGATATTCACTAAGTATAGAATGCTAGTTGGACATGTTTTTTCTTTCAGTACTTTGAAGATGTTGATCTATGATCTTCTCCATTGTATTGTTTCTGGTAAGAATGCTCCTCTTGTTCTTACTTTTGTTTGTTTGTAACTAGCTAATATTTTCCTTGAATGATTTAAGATTTTTATAGCTGATGTGGAGAAATTTGCTAATGATGTAGTGCAGTTATTTACTTCAAGGTTCTTGTGTTTTATACTTGTTAATCTTCTTTGATATGTGATTTTATAGTTTTCATAAAATTTGGAAAAATATAAGACATCATTATTTTAAATATTTTTGTGTGCATCACCATCTACACTGCCTTTTGTGGAAACTCTAATTTTATGTATTAAACCAACTGGAATTTTCTTACAGCTAACTGATGCTCTTTTCAATTTTTTTTTTTTTTTTGCAAATTTCTTATTTTCTCTGTATTTCATTTTATTTATTTATTCCATTTTTTAAATTTAATTTTTTTTTGAGACACAATCTCGCTCTGTCTACGTCAGACTGGAGTACATTGGTATGATCTCAGCTCACTGCAACCTCCGCCTCCCAGGTTCAAGCGATTCTCCTGCCTCAGCCTCCCCAGTAGCTGGGATTACAGGCACGTGCCAGTACACCCGGCTAGTACATTTTGTTTCATCTTGGACATTGCAATTTTCATCTGTGAAAGTTCCATTTGGGTCTTTTCATATCTTTCCTGTCACTCCTAAATTTTTGAACATAAGAGATGCAGTTATAATAGTGTGTTAATGTGTTTTTCTTCTAGTTTTAACATCCATGCATGTATGATCTTTGTGTTTGTCTTATGTATTCGATTCTCATTTTCATTATGGATTAGGCTCTTTTATTCTTTATATGTTGATTATCTTTGATGTATTGTCAGATTTGTGAGGTTTACTTGTTGTACCCTAGATATTTTTGTATTCCTATAAATATTATTCAGTTTTAATCTGGAATAAAGTTAAGTTACTTGGAAAATATTTCATCCTTTTAGAGTCTGGCTTACATGATTTCTTAGGCAGTTCTAGAACACTGCTCAGTTAAAGGCTGGCTATTCTTCACTTGTGAGGCAAGATCATCCTTGCTCCTATTCAATGCCCCAATAATGTGAAGTTTAACCTATCTGGTAATGGGAACTGGCATTATTTCTGGTTCCTTGTGAATTCCGGATGATTCTTTCAATTTTCTCAGGTAGTTCCTCATATTTTGCATTGATGAGTACTCACCTAAAAACTCACAGGGTCCTTTGTCAGATATCTGGGGCTTTCTTTCTGTGAAGCATTTGCCTCTCTTGTACTCTGTCCTGGAAACTTCAGCAGCCTTGGTTTCCCCAGACGTTAAGCTGTGACTAGCACAGAAAATCATCTGGACTATGTCTGAGTTACCTTTCCCTCTGCCATATCCTGGAAACTCTCTAAAAGCAGTAAGATGGGGCAATTGTAGAATTTAGCTTTTCTTCAATCCCTTAGGGATCACTGTTGCCTGATGTCAATGTCTTAATGATTATTACTATATATACATATATGTGTATGTATATATATATACACACACGTGTATATATAAACCACACATATATGTATACATCTCAATTCTACAATATATATGTGTGTACATATATAGTGTGTGTATATTAGACATTGTTATATGTGTATGTGTCATATATACACTATATGCACATGTGCTTATATGTATACATGCATATATACATATACACATATACAAATATAATCATACACACACACATATATATGTATATATAGTCTGTTTATTTTGGTTAGTTCAGATGGAAAAATAAATCTTGTCCTTGTTACTTCATATAGGTCAGAAGCAGGTGTCTCTCTCACTTTGTTTTGACTGTAATTTTTCATACTATGTTTCTTAATTTCAAGTATTTATTTTTATAGTCAAATTTTTCAATAGTTATTGTAGGATTTTTTCCATAGTTTTATTATTTCCTGTCTTAATTATTCTTGTTGGCGTCTCTGTTTTTTTTTTCTTTTAAAAACATAATTGTTTCACAAAATAATGAAGTACAGAGAATGATTATTAGAATTGTCTGTAAGTCCAATACATGATTCAACATCTGTATATTTAAGGTACTGTACAATAGCTTTTAGAGAAAGATTTAGTTAGCCACTACTAAATATTCGTTTCATTATTCTTAGTGCTGTGATTACTGAAAGGACTGCACTTTCTAATCCCCTTGACATGGATCTAAATCTAATAGCACTTCCCAATATTGAAAATATTGTACTATTTTCCACATTTGTCACTCTTATCATTTCTTATATGTTCATATTTTTATAATATAAGGTCCCAGAGGACAAGGATATTTGTATGCTCTGTTCACTCCTGTATTTCAAGAGTCTAGACAGATGCTGGGCTAGAGTAGGCACTAACTATTAATTTCTGAATAAATGGGGGATGCTAGTAAAGAGTTAAATCTTTGGATAGTGTTCCAAGCTGGAAGTGGTCTATGACTCCTGAGAACTCAACTTTCGCCGTCTAAAGGCAGGAGCACTAGGTATGAAGATTTTGAAACTGGCCCAAGTCATTATTCTGACAATAGCTAGCTTTGAGTCAATTTGAGTAGGATACTTCATTTCTCTTTTGTTGTTTTTGTTGTCAGTTAGTTTAATGGTTTTGTTTCCTTACTAATTAAAGGAGGTATTTAATTTGCATTATTCTGATGGTTGACTTTTACATTTTATGTAACTTTCATGTTGTTGAATTGGCCACTGATTTCCTGGTTTTGTTACTCTTCCTTTAATCTCATAATTCATTTTGCCTATATTTTCTTACTAATTTCTTTTCCCCTCCACTCTCCTATTCCTTCTGGCTAGCATTTAATCTCTTTTTTTAAACTCTTTTACTTCCTATTGTTTCTCTGTCCCTCCATCTTTTTCTTTTGCCGGCTTGTTCATGCCTTCTTCTTTTCTCTTTATCATTGTTTCCCTTTCCCTTTTTTTCTTCTTTTCCACTCTGCTTTCTCATTTATTTTTCTCTCATTCTTAATCACACATGTTCATTCATTTAACAAATTTTTATAAATTAATAAGCACAAGTCATGTGCTAAGTATTATGTTATATACTGGGGAGATGAGGTAAAATAGGCTGATGAAGTACTTGGCCTGATAAGTTTAGAATCTGTCAGAGTGCAATGCCTTCACTATATCAAAAAATACAGGCAAGAAGCAAGAGTGAGGGTGTTAAATAATTTCTTTCAATATACCAAAACTTATGGGATGCAGCTAAGGTAGTTCTAACAGAGAAATTTGTTGCAAAAAAATAAATATAAATTAGAATAATAGAATGATTTCAAATAAACAACCTAAATGTACACCTCCAGAAACTAAAAAGAAAAATAAATCCTAAGCACTAAGTCAGCAAAAGGAAGGAAATGATGGAGATTAGAGCATAAATAAATGGAGTAGAAACTAGATAAGCTTTAGAAAAGATCAACAAAACTAAGAGTTGGGTTTCTGAAAAGATAATAAAAATAGAAAAAAACTTTAGACTTAACCAAGAGAAAAACAGAGAGATCTCAAATAAGTGAAAGAGGAGACATTTCTATCAATACCATAGAAATATAAAGGATTCTAAAGATGATACTACGAACAATCCTACACCAACAAATTAGGCAACCTAGAAGAAATGGATAAATTCCAAGAAATATAATACCTATCAAGAATGAATCATGAAGTAGAAAGTCTTAAGAGATTAGTAATGAGTAAAGAAATTTCATAAGTAATCAAACACCTCCCCAAAAGAAAAGTCTAAGACCTCATGGTGTTACAAGTGAATTCTATTAATACCAAGCCTTGAAATAAATTAATGCCAATCAACTTTTCCAAAAATTGAAAAGAAGGAAACACTTCCAAGCTCATTCTGAGAGGTTAGCATTACCCTCAACCAAAGCCAGCTAATGACACCTCAAGGAAAAAAAAAGTAGACAAATATCCCTGATAAAAATACACACAAAAATCCTAAAAAAAAATACTGGTAAACCCAATTCAACAGCATGTGAAAAGAATCATACATAGTTATCCATTAGAATTTGTGCCTGGATGCAAGGAAGATTTAATATACACAAATAAATCAATATGATATACCATGTTAACAGAATAAAGGATACAAATTGTAAGAACATCTCAATAAATATACAATAAGCATTTAACAAAATTAAACATCCTTTAAAACTCTAAAACATGATAAAATTTCTCAACAAAATAAGTGTAGAAGAAACTTAACACAATAAAGTACGTATATAAAAAACCCACATCGAATATCCAGAATACCAGTTGTCAAGAGCTGGTGGGTGGGGAAAATGGGGATGTATTGATCAAAGATTCCAAACTTTCAGTTATAAAATGAATAAGTTACGTAGGTCTAACATACAGCATGGTAACTATAGTTAATAATACATAATTATATACTTGAAATTTACTTTCCCATCATACATATACACACCCATAAATGGTAACTATGACTGGTGATGAATGTGTTAATTAATCTGACTGTGGTAATCATGCAGTAGTCCCCCCTTATCCATGCAGGATATGTTTCAAGAATTCCATAGATGTCTGAAACTACAGATAGTCCTGAACCTTGTACATACTGTGTTTTTTTCTATGCACACATGTCACTGTGAAAGTTTAATTTATAAATTAGGCATGGTAAGAGATTATCAACAATAAATAATAATAAAACAGAGCAATTATAACAATTTATTGTTTAAAAAAAGTTACGTAAATGTGGTGTGTCTATCTCTCACATTTTATTGTACTGTAATCACCTATTTTCAGACCACAGTTGATTGTGGATAACTGAAAACACAGATAAGGGGGGACTACTATACAATGTGTAGTTGTATTAAATCATCCCATTGCTCCACTTGAATATATACAATATTTACTTTTTAGTTACATATTTGAAATACAACAGTAAAAATTCTAAATAAAAATTTAAAAATAGGATTTAAACTAAAAAACTTCTGCACGATAAAAGAAATAATCAACAGAGTGAAAAGACAACCTACAGAATGAGAGTAAATATTTGCAAATTATTCATCTCACAGTGTCCTAATATCCAGAATGTACAAGAAACTTAAACAACTGAACAGGAAAAAATATATATCCCCATTAAAAAGTGGGCAAAGGACATGAATAGACATTTTTCAAAAGAAGACATACAAATGGCCAATAGGTATATGAAAAAATGTTCAATACTACTAAACATCAGAGAAATGCAAATGAAAACCACAATGAGATATTATCTCATGCCCATCAGAATGGCTATCATTAAAAATGTATGCAAAAGTATACAAAAATGCAGCAAATGGCAAGGAGGTGAAGAAAAAGGAACTCTTATACTCTGTTAGTGGGAATGTAAATTAGTACAACCTCTATGGAAAATAGTACAGAGATTTTTCAAATAATTAAAAAGAGAATTACCATTTGATGCAGGCATCCCACTAGTAGGTATCTAGACAAAGGTAAATAAATAAATATATTTAAAATATATCTCCACTGGTATGTTTATCACAGCACTATTCAATATAGCAAAGATATGGAATCAAATTAAGTCCCTATAACAGATGAATGGATAAAGAAAATCTTACATATATATATATATATATATATACACACACACACACAAACACACACACAAGGTAATACTATTCAGCCTTAAATGGAGTAAAATCATGTCTTCTGCAGCAACGTGGATGGAACTGGATGTCATTATCTTAGGTGAAACAAGCACGGAAAGGTAAATATCCTACGTTATCACTCATAAGAGGGTGTTGAAATGTGTACACATGGATATAAGAGTGCAATGACAGACAATGGAGACTTGGAACGGTGAGAGGGTGAGAGGGGGAGTGAAGGATGAGAATTAGTTAATGGGCACAATGTACTTTTTTGCGGTGATGAATACACTAAAAGCCCTGACTTAACTACTATGCAATTTATACATGTAACAAAATTGCATATTTACCCCATAAATTTGTACCAAAAAAATCTAAATAAAATTTTGTAATATATTATTTGATTTTCAGGTAAGCTCAATTTTGTTTAACACTTGAGAACTATTTGTCTTAAGACATAGCGTATCATTTTTAAAAAAGCTTCTGCATCATAGTACAGGTTTCTGTATATGTGTTTGTGTTTGTGTGTGTGTGTGTGTTATGAGAGAGATAGTGTAGGGAGATCGAAAATAATTGAAGATAATCAGTTACTTACCAATAGAAATGGTATTTAAGCAGGCACCTGAAACTTTCCTTTAAATAACAGAAAATCAAAATATTTTACAATACTCTGTAAATTATATAAATATCAAAATTCAAAAGGAATCCCGCCACTCCCCATACACACACTCACACACACACTTGCAAACACATAATAGAATCCTCTGAACTTGGGCTACAGCACTCTAAGGCATATAAGATTCTTTTTCTTGCAGTTAGTTCACACAGTTTTAGTAGTGTATCATTCTGTGAGGCTATTTCTACCTTATACTGATGATTGTGGAAACACCAGAGGATTCTTCTTTAACGGTAGATAAGCAATACCTGCAACAATAACAGTTCAATTTATCAACCTCGTAAACAGCTCTTACATTTATCTTCATATTGGCTACCACTGCCTGAGCACAATCTTCTATTTCTCACCTGGAAAACTATAATATCTTTCTAACAGGGACACATATTCCACCATTACTTCCTTATCATCCTTTATAGTACTGCTGCAAATATTCTATTTGTTTTAAAACTTGCATCTGTTTATAAAAGTATAGTTGTTTTTAGTAAAATATGTGGTTTTCAAATTCAGACTTGATACTATCTGCAAATAATGAAAGATATTTAAACTTTTCAAGACACTACATTCTCATTAATAAGTGGAGATTAATAATAACTACTTCTTAAAATTTTTGTGAATATTATATATGGCATGCATGTAAAGTGCTCTCATATTGCAGAGAACCTAGAAAACTCTCAATGGATTTAGTTACTGCCCTTGGTAAATAATTTAGAAACCTAAGAAAAATAATAATTAAAGGAGTAAAAATTATATACCAATTCATTCATGCTTTATATAGCATTTTCAAGTTTTTAGTTCTGCTTAATTACTGTAAATGATACATTGATCATAGTTAAGACTTGGACAACAAACTGGATTTATATAGTCTTACTTAAAGTAACATTTTCTATAGGGTAAATTTCTGGACCAATTTTGACCCGGTCATCTCTCTGTAACCACACTGTTTAAGTAGTGGTGGTTTGAAATTAAATATAGCATCTTATATGCCTCTCTTCTTTCTCCCATTGTTTTCTGGTTATTGTTTCACATAGTCCTCTTCGGATGAACTTCAAGAGAGTTGACATACATATAATATTGACATTATTACTCTGGAAACAAGTGCATGTTTTATTTCATTTGAGACCCTTTTGTTAGTTACCGGTAAATTTTTACCTTCTGTTATATGAGTCTTGAATGACTTTCTTTAGGCCTAGCTTTTATAGATAGTATTGCTATTATAAAACAAATGCTTTGCCATTAAGCATTCTAAATTGCTAATGATGTTGTATGTATAGGAAATGCAAAGCTTTTTTAGGGTCTCCAACTGGGACTAAGAATTAGCACAACATAAGACAGATTAACAAGAAAAAAAGCATAATTTTTTTATTTAATTTTTTTACATGTACCATCTCTTTATATACACAGGTGGATTGGTTCCACAATTACCTACACACACGAAAATCCCAGAATGCTCAAGTTCTTTGTATAAAATGGTATAGTATTTGCATGTAGCCTATGCACACTCCCCCCATATACTTTAAATTACCTATATTTTACTTATAATGCCTAATACAATGTAAAGGCTGTGGAATAATTGTAATACTATTGCATTTAAAATTCATTTTATTTTTAATTGTTGTAGCATTATTTTTGTTTCTGTTCTAAAATATTTTCAATCCACAGTTGAATACAGAACCTGCAGCTACAGAGGGCTGATTGTACATGAGAAACTTCAGAGGAAAATGAAGACACAGAAAGTAGTTGGTTCTAAGTGCTTACACACTAGGTTGAACAAACAGTAGTAACTGTGGGATAGTAAAAGATTAAAGGAAGATACCGGAGGCCGGGCGCGGTGGCTTACGCCTGTAATCCCAGCACTTTGGGAGGCCGAGGCGGGCGGATCACGAGGTCAGGAGATCGAGACTATCCTGGCTAACACGGTGAAACCCCGTCTCTACTAAAAACACAAAAAAAAATTAGCCAGGCTTGGTGGCGGGCGTCTGTAATCCCAGCACTTTGGGAGGCCGAGGCAGGAGAATGGCGTGAGTCCAGGAGGCGGAGCTTGCAGTGAGCTGAGATGGCGCCACTGCACTCCAGGCTGGGCGACAAAGCAAGACTCTGTCTCAAAAAAAAAAAAAAAGGAAAGAAAAGAAAGAAAAGGGAAGATCTGTATCTTATTTTATCTGTATCTTATCTTTTTTATATCTTATGTATTTTATCTGTATCTTATTTTAACAGTCTGTTTGTACAGATTTTGGCCTTAACTGCTTGCCTCTGGTGATGAGAATATTCTTTTCTTTCTGGTGTAGGCAGCGCATGTTTCACATGGCAGTTTTATCTCCTGTTTAGGGAAAGAAAACAGAGGGTCAGAGTGCCCCTCTTGCATCTGCTGTTTTACAAGTGTCTTTAGCTCAAAGTAGTCAATATGCCAAACTGGCATGTTTTGGAGTAACATGCTGTGAACCACCTTATGTGGAATAGACACAATTTGAGTGTTGATGCTCTTTTAGTAAGTTTTTCAGGTGATTCTGTTAAATATTTTGGTAGATAATCATATCTAGAAATGTTGCTAATGTTGCTTCTTTAATTTGTATCATTTCTAATTGTGACAAAATGATGTAGGTATTAACAATTTAGAACAAGCGAAGTCTAAAAATTATATCAATTCTGCCCTTGCATGTAAATGTTAAATTGTTTGGGTAATGAAATCCAGGCTCAAACTAAACTTTCCTTGCAAGTTTGAAGTTGTTGATCTACTATCTTTTGAAAAACCCATGAAGATATCAAAGTTATTCATGTACAAGTAATCTACTTAAGATCTTTTTGAAAGATTGTTCTAAATAATTCATATATTATTGTATTTCTTCTATTATATCTGTTGTTTCTTCATCTCCAAATTACTCTGCAAGTCCTATTAGTTGTACCTTAAAGTTTCTGAGCCTGCCTTATTAAATTTTCTTTTACATTTCATATGCTTTTGCCAATTTGCAGCTCTTTCTAAGAGAATTCCACAATTCCATATTCCACATGACTAATAAGTTGTATCCATTTTGTTCTTTGACAAACTAACTAGTTTATTTATGTGTGAGATTAAAACTACATGAAGTTTCTGGAATTATAACGGTTCCCAGAATTACACATTTTGTGATAAAATTAGTGGTTCTAAAGCTATATGGATAGTTAAGTAAGAATTCCCTTCATTTTCTTGAAAATAATAATAGAGCCCATGATTTTCCCAGCCAACTGGCCCTCGGGATTTTCTTTTGGAAATGGACCTGTTTACTGAAAATTAATTAGAAATGACCCACCTGCGGGAGGCTGAGGCAGGAGAATGGCGTGAACCCGGGAGGCGGAGCTTGCAGTGAGCCGAGATCGCGCCACTGCACTCCAGCCTGGGCGACAGAGCGAGACTCCGTCTCAAAAAAAAAAAAAAAAAAAAAAAAAAAAAAGAAATGACCCACCTGACTTTGACTAAGAAATTTGCTGAATTTGGCATCTAGAATAGTATTTTGTTTGTCTTAAATAATATTTTACACAAGGCGAGATTAGAAATCATACACACACACACACACACACGCACACACACAAAAAGAATTGATACTCTTTGATAACTTTTTGTCATCTGCTAACAAATGCTTGTATCCATGACAGAATCCTGCCTGAGAATTTTGTTCTTTGTAATATACTACCTGGAGGGAACACTGTAGTGAATGCAGCCTCACATCCTTCACCTACCTTTATTAGAAGGTTACACCACACAGCAAGAAGAATCTAATGATTTTGAATTACCGAAATTGTCTTTGCTGTTTCATAACAGCGTATAAAATTAATTGTCCAAAACCCCACTTTTTTTTAAAGATGCTACTTTGCTTTCAAATTTCCCTACATCAGTAAATGGAAGCTTTATTCCTTCATCTGCAAGCTTCAGCACCACTGCCACCTAAGCTATCATTTCTCATCTGAATTGTTTCGGCAACTTTTAAATGTTCTCTTTTCTTTATTCCTTTCTCACCTATTGTCAACTCTCCATATTGCAAGCAAAGTGATTAAAATGTAAAGTAAAAATGGTACTTCTAAAGTACCATAAAGTAAAGTAAACTGTGGTATTTCTCTGTATCAAATTCATTAGCAGAACTTCCCAATTCATTAAGGATTTTATTCATCATTTTTATGACCTTTGAGGCCCTAAATGTAATGTTCACCATCACCATCATCCACAAACACACACAGCTACAGAAAAGAGTTAAGGCTGCTGTTACCTGGATCTCATCATGGTTCTTCCCCCACTCACACTCGCACACACGCACCCATTACTTCTCTTACTTTCATCTTCTACTAATATTCTACGATTTTCTATTATTCTACTATTCTAATATTCTACTACTATTCTACTATTGTCTTTCTGTACCCCATGTCCTAGCTTACCTGTCATTGGAGATATTCTTAAAACATACCAATTATACTTTTGCCACAGGTACTTTGCACATCCTAGTCCCTCTGACTAGAATGATATTTACCACATATCTTCATTTTAGATCCACTTATTTCCTTTACATTTCTGTTCAAATGTCTATATATAAGACAGGTCTTTAGGTTCATTATGTATAAAATAGTCATCAAACACTCCATCTATTTCCTCTTTATTTTCCTTGTAACTTTCTTCTATGAGAAAATGAAAAAATAATCGCTGATGAATGAACAAATTTAGTTACGTGCAAACTGAAGAAATAATTATAAAATTTCACTGGCTTTTCAAAAAATAAAAAAAAATCCCTTTCCAAACATTACACTCAACGTAGAGAGTTAGGTGGATGGTGAAATGGAAAGTTAACTGTATTTGGCTGTATGCGGTACAGTGACCTTGCTTCCAATCATCTCATCACGTATCCTGCAGACAAAATTCAGGGGATCAATGAAGTTGCATAAGAAAAAATTGATTACATTTTTATTTTCAATATCCTCTTACTGAAACATAATATTTCCTTCAATTATCAACATAGGCAAAAGAGTAGAATAATATAGTGGTACCTGTTACACTGTCACCAATAGAAATTATTATTATTTGTTATCACATTGTGGTCATTGCATTATACTTACCAAGTTACTTCATGTTCCTCACTACTTAGAAATGATGGTACTTGTAAAACTGCGAATCACACATGATTACAATAAAATCCATCGGGGTCCTCTACTTTTGCAAAAAATGGGTGTTGGGAGTGACCTTCTGTTGCTTTCTTTTAATTTGAACCACTCTAATATCAAAGGGGAATTTCTCAAATTCCCTGGCATATGCCCAAGATCTGTCCCTATTACCACTCTTGATTCAGGCATAAACCCAATTCAATATTCTCTTCATCATTCTAAATAGGAATCTTGGCAGTGTGTGAATTTATTGAGTATGAAGTCAAGATTGACACACCAGTGCTTGTGAAACATATCATCTTATCCAGAAACAATAAAATAATTTTTCTAGCTCACACATTTGATCAACACTCTTATGAACCCATCTAGAATGGTCCCCTTCAGCATAAAGTACAAATGCCTCAGTTTCGTATACAGAAAACTTCTTTCACTCTCCTATCCGTATACAGCCTCACCTTTATTTTTCCTACATAAACCTATCTTGTGGTAGAAATAATAATAATAACAGAAATAGTAATTAGCCTTTATTAAGCATTTAGTGCATGCCATATATCAAGCTTGGTGCTTTATATGTTACCTCATCTCCTTCCCACAACATTATCTCTAAATCTCAAGTAAGAAAAATGAAGTTTATGAGGTTAAGTATATCACTCAATGTCACACGAATAAGAGTTGTAAAATCTGGAACTTGAATCTATCACTGGTTAACCTCAGAGCCAAAGATCTTTACCACTGTACATTACAGTAACACACCATGGGTGACTTATGCTTTTCTGAATATCCTAACATAACGCTTGCTATATAGTACTAATTGAGTTATAAGCCTGTGTTGGGAAATACAGAGAGGTGCTTATTTATTTAATTCCATCATGACGTATTGGTTTTTTATGCTGCAATTGTAACATCTTAAAATCCTAAAAAAAGAAAATTTTAATAATTATGATTACAATAAAACTCATTTTATTAAGATTATAGCTTTTTTAGGAAGTAAAAGAAGAGACAGAAGCTCTGATTCTTAAAGTAAAGCTATCCTAAATGTTTAGGTACATTTTCAGCTGCATGTGTTGAAACTTGCATTTTAAATTAGAACAAAGGTAAAAAATCAAGCTATAACAACAAAATTGTTTTGTCCCCAAAGATCACCTCTGTCTGAAGGTTTTTCTACAGCTATTTCTTTTTTTAAGCAGATGTCTAGCTTTGCTACCACTGCTTCTCAGGGGAAGTGAGGTGCAACATCCTGATAAATTTAACATTTCTTATACTGAGAATGTCTCCCAGGAGACACAACCACTTACAGCACTGGATACAGAATCTTCGTAAACATCTTGTGAAAGAAACTCTAATAGGAAACCAAAGTATCAGCATAAGCTACTGCCCTCTCCCCTGAAGCCAGTATTTGACTTCTAGCTCTTCATCTTCTTAAAGTTTCAGAGGATTTTCCTGTGTGTATAGATCAGTTTGCTAATGTTAAATGAGATATTCACGATAAAACATTTAGTGATAGATCTTATTTACTTTCTTTTTAAACTTAATAAACCATTTGTTTTTATCTGTACTATTAACACAACCTGTGAAGTATTTTAAAATGCAAGTACCCCCCTATACCCTAAATCTTCTGAATCAAGAGCCTTTCCAGATAGGAATTTTTAGAAACTTTTTGTAATAAATAATAAAATTATTTATTAAATTCTAGGGCTGCAATTATCTTAATTTTGCTGTGTAATAATTTAAAAGAAAAAAGATCAAAGCAGAATATGGAGATGCTGCTTAAAGTAGGATGCAGAATCTGTCATAACTCCAAAATGTGGAATTTCTGTTTTGAATCAGTATAGTTCAAAATGGCAATCCATATACATAGTCAGAAACATGAATTGATTACAAACTCAATATATCTTCATCTTTCAATGGATAACTGAGAACAATCAAGTTCAGAGGCAATAAATATGAAGTCAGAATATCGATCTCTCTAAGTACAATAAGAGATAAACCTGTCAACTTGGTATTTTGTCATATCAATAACAGGAAATGTATAATGCAAATTCAGCTATAATTAGAACAATGGCTTATTAATTTTAAAAATAACACTGCCCAAAAGCCTACACTTGTATACCATCTGGTTGATACAATCTCTCTCTGTGTGCATGCTGCATGGGAAGTCGAATGTTCATTGGAGCTATTTCAATATGCTCTGAGAACTAGCAGTGTAAGTCATGGTGCGCTGTTTTATGAAATCTGGCCCAGGCAGCCTCACACATCTATCTCCACATTATCCACACATCTGCCTTTGCAGCATAAAAGTCTTTGTTCTTAGGCAAGGCACATTCTCTCCTTTGAATGTCTGCATAGACACACTTGATATTTCCCTGTGTTGTTCCAATTTCCCTTTCCATGGGAAGAGAAACCTCTTCTCTAAATGAGATGGTTTTATTTATTTTTTAAATAATACATAATGTTTGTATATATTTATGCGGTGCATATGATATTTCATTACATGCATAAAATGTGTAATCATCAAGACAGGGTATTTATGGTATCCATCAAGTATTTACCATTCCTATGCATTGGGAACATTCCAAGTCCTCTTTTCTAGCTATTTTGAAATATACATTGTTATTAACAACGGTCACCCTACTCTGCTATCGAACATTAGAACTTATTCCTTCTATCTGAGTGTTTGTTCCCACTAACCAACTTCTCTTTGTTCCAGAGTCTCATCCACAAGCCTTTGACAGCCTCTGATATTCCGGCCCTTGATATCATTTGATTATCTCCATGATATTAACATTTTTAGCTCTCTCATATGAATGAGAATATAAGGTATTTGTGCCTGGTTTATTTCACTTAACATAATAAGCTCTAGCTTCATCAATGTTGCTACAAATGACATAAGTGTATTCTTTTTTTTCTGTCCCAATAGCATTCCACTGTGTATACATACCACATTTTCTTTATCCTGAATGAGATTGTATTTAAGTTATTTTAATACATCTATATTTGGTTATAGTCAACTTTTCTAATCCTGTAAATTTCAAGACTTACAGTGGCTTGACATGTTACCACTTTGATCCAATGTGTGTGTGTGCATGTGTGTGTGTGTGTGTGTGTGTGTGTGTATTTTTCGAAATGTAGTCTCGCTCTGTCGCCCACACTGGAGTGCAGTAGCACATTCGGTTCGCTGCAACCTCTGCCTCCCGGGTTCAAGCGATTCTCCTGCCTCAGCCTCCTGCGTAGCTGGGACTACACATGCACGTCACAACGCCTGGCTAATATTATGTATTATTAGTAGAGATGGATTTCACCATGTTGGCCAGGATGGTCTCAATCTCCTGACCTCGTGATCCACCAGCCTTGGCCTCCCAACAATATGTGTATATTTTAATGTTAAACTCTACTTTGGAAATCATATTTCTGTTATTATTGAGTTCTTAAGAGCATAGGTGGGGCAATGTAAAATTTCCTCCATTTGTTTGTTG
The DNA here is from genome assembly GCF_000001405.40 of Homo sapiens. NCBI lineage: Eukaryota > Metazoa > Chordata > Mammalia > Primates > Hominidae > Homo > Homo sapiens. The sequence continues at coordinate 89,774,434 of NC_000013.11, forward strand.
AAACTTTATCTTGGGGTCAGGCACATACTTTACTAAAAATGAATGTTTCAGGAAGACATCTGATAAAGCACTGTAACTGTTTTTATCCTATTCAACTCCAACATGAGTTCCATGAAAAACTTACTTTTATTTAGGTGTCAAGGAAGAAAAAGAGGAACAACAATAATAATATATATACTTCATCCAAAGGAATTATAATACAAAACAGTATTTTTATCTGTTATGTGGTGCTCAAAGATAATTTATTTTCTGGAAATATAAAAAAGGAATAGATTCTCATAGTCAACCATTTTGTAAGTCCCATTTCTAAACTAATTAATTCCTTATGTGCTATGGAATTGAGACAATAGTCTACAGATAATCCCAATATTTCAGAGACATCCGTATAATAGTATATAAAAATATACACAAATAATAATTAAATTTTAATGTTGCATTAATCAATCAGCAATGCACAAATATATATGGTACCATCTGAAGGTAATTGAAAGATCTTTTGACATTAAATTTCAAATACACAAACAAATGTTGAGAAAGGTTGGATCCATGCCGTATGCAATATATATAGATGGTTCACTCATAATTTAATGTATGATGATGTATAAGTTAGCTTTTGCTATTTAACAAATTCCTCCAGTTCTGTTGGCTTAAGAAAGCAATCATAATATTTAGCTCAGCATTCTGATCTTCCTAGACTCTTTCATTTCATCAAGGATGGCTTCACTCAGACATCTAGTGATTAAAAACTGTCAGATTAGTAGCATGAATCTTTTCCATTTCAACTCTCATCTTTAGCCTATTTGCCAGTGCTGCTATAGATGGTGGTCTCAGATCCAAGCTCAATGTTAGAGGGAAAGCACCAATGAGCAAGCCATTTTTCAGTATCTGCTTGTGTTTCATATGCTGATGTTCCATCAGCCACATCCAATTCAAGTGGGGAAGCACTGTATTGTACCTCTTGAGGAAATGAGCTGCAAAGTCACAATACAAAGGAAGATGTGCACAAAGATGGAATGAACTTGTAGCCATTATACAATCTACCACAGGTCGTATATTTTATTTGTCATAAAAAGTTATCAAGAGTACTTTTATCTAAGACAGTGATTCCCAAGGCCTAGACACAATATAAGCAACTAATATCTTGCCTGATGGTCAGTCTTCATCAAATAACTGTATAATTCTTTCATAGGGTTTTAGTGCGTTAACTTGAAAAATATTTCTATATTCTGAAAAAAATAATGCTCCTAGAAGGTGCAGCATGGGATAAAGGCTGTATAATTGTTGCCATGGCTGTATTTTTGTTCTTTATATATTTTTCTCAATGACATGTTCATGATGGCAGAATGATACAATTTTGATCTATAATTGCTCCTTATGATCCAATTGCTCTTTAGACACTTTTGAAGTTAGCCTGGAGTAGTTGCAATGGAGGTTCATTCTTGCAAAAAACCCCTATTTGTCTGATAACAATTTCCGTCTGTGGTTTCTATTGCTTCACGTTCAATCATCAGAATTGGTAAATAAATTGTCATTATTGACCCTTTTAAAAAGCCGTGCATTGCATGGCTGTACATTCATGCCATTTAAACACCCTTAGGAACATAACTACTGCATCCTTTGCAGGAGAAAAAATGGCTATTTTAAATGAAGAGGAAATTAGAGTGAATGGTTTGTAGCTAGAGAATAAAGGGTTTCAGCAGAATTCCAGTCAAATTTCAAGAGCAAGTATGTCATTGTAATGTTTTAAAATGATGCTTGTTGATAAAGGTTTGCTTTTCTTAATCCATACTCACTTTAGCAAATGCTTTTTTATAAGCATTTTATCCCTTATTTATTTTTTTCCTTTTTTCTTAGTCTATTAAGCTGCAGCAGATATCAGATAATTTAATTTCCTGTCCTAACTATGTTAAAGAATGCCAATAACATTAGAAAAAAGGCCTATGATATCTGGCACTTTTGATTTATCAAAGTAGAAGCTACGCTATTCCCTGATGTTTGACTTTTTCAGCATTTTGTGATGTGCTATGTGATATGCAAAATGGGATAATGTAAAGAATGTTAATTAAAAGAACCTGTAAAGTAAAATATAGTTTATTCATCCAAATTGGGAAAGAAAAGTCATAAGACATTTTCAAAGAACAAAGTAGGTGCCTAAAAATTGCTTGTTTTTTTAAGTTATCCTAGTAGATATTTAAAGTTGTCAGCCTAGCACTTCCATTGCAAGAGCTTTCTTATCCCAAGCACTTGGTAACTATGTAGGGTGAACTTATAATTTGTTATTTAAACTAGAAAATTTTGAAAGTGTAAGAAGTGTAAAACTTCTTAAGAAGTGAAGTTCATAATTAATCAACAGATTTTAAAGTGTAATTATTTATTGAATCAATATAATCTAATTTACCTTTTGTATACATTAATACATGCTATTAATGATTAAATGATAAAATATAGAGAGACTTCAAATATCTCAGGTAAAACTGAATGTATGATTTGTTTATAAATATGAGGGCCTTCATAATTCTACAAGTTTTGGCTCCTGACGCAAGTTAGAGCACAAAGATTTTTCATAAATTTTGGGCAGAGAGAGCTAAAGCAATTGCACCCTGGTGGCTGAAGATGTAAAATGAAACCATGTCAATTCTTCTTCTTTTTGAGACAGAGTCTTGCTCTGTCGCCCAGGCTGTGGTGCAGCTCGCTGCAGCCTCTGCCTCCTGGGTTCAAGTGATTCTCCTGCCTCAGCCTCCTGAGTAGCTGGGATTACAGGCGCATGCCACCATGCCCGGCTAATTTTTTGTAGTTTTAGTAGAGATGGGTTTCACCGTGTTAGCCAGGAAGGTCTCTATCTCCTGACCTCGTGATCGACCTGCCTCGGCCTCCCAAAAGGTCACTGCGCCCGGCCTGAAACTATGTCAATTCTTTTACATAGAGAAAAACACAAAAGGAAGCAAATGAAAATAAAACTACTCTAGGGAAGATAAAACAAGCAAATAATAAACACGGCATAAGAGACATCAACAGATTGAGAAAAGAGCTACTTCATGTTGCTCTTAAATTTCAAATGAATAACAGCTGTTGGCACGGTTTTGCTTTTTATAAATAATTGTATTTATTTTTTAAATGACAATGATTATATACAATGTGATGTTTCACATAGATACAATAACTGTAGGTACATTGTAGAAAGATTAAATGAAGGTTTTACTATTTTAAACCTTAATTTAATTCTCGTTTTTTTGTTCTATGATTGTTGAAGATTGCTTTGTCATTTACAAACTAAATGATCCAAATAAAAATTTGATTGAATTATGTATAACCAAGACAACATCTTTTATTGATTTTAAATAGTCACATAAAAAACACCCAAAATGAGAATTGGAATCTCCCATACGCTGAAAAGAAGTCTGAGACCAAGAGGTGCCAGCTAATCTAACACCACACCGTGATTTACTAATAAGTATCAAATTTTTAAACCTTTCCTTTGTGGCCTCATGCTCCATGAACTTTTACCTATAATAAAGTTATTTTTTCAAATAATATATTTCTATGTACTCTAGGGGATACATAATATATCGTGAAAATGTGGGCTTTATTAGGAAATATTGGGCAATTTTACACCCACTGCATAATTTAGCCCAAGGATTGAAAACCAGTGTCATTGATTTTTCATTTTTCCCAATGGAAGTAAGGTCAATATTAGAGCACTTTTTAAGAAATAAAGTTCATAATTAATCAACAGATTTTTAAAGTGTAATTATTTATTGAATCAATGCAATTTAATTCACCTTTTTTATACATTAAAAGGTAATGGTGTTGAGAGAGTATTTCTGTTCTTTTCTTCTTTATTTTTGAGGAGTATTTATTCTGATCATCACTCTGTCAACTCTAACAGGAAAGTATTAAATTGGAAACACCAAACACAAAAATATATTATGTCTTGAAACCCAAAAGGAAAAGCTGAAAAAATCAATATTTGAAACCAGATATAAGTAGCCAGAGAAATAGTGATGTGGGGATTAAAGTAGGAGGATTAAGGAAAATATATTCCCCACAGGTTGTGTGCTTTTTGGCTATTCTTAATAAAAATCCTAAGTTAATACACAGATTAATATACTTAAAGGGGGAAAGACTCAATAAACTTCATAGTCATTCCTTAGCAGTTCTCAGTTTTTATGTCCATTTGACCCTTCCTATCTGTGGGTTCCCCATCTGTGGATGCAATAAACCATAGATAAAAAATAATTGAAAAAATTGTGCCTCTAGTGAATATATGCAGACATTTTTGTGTTTGTCATTATTCTCTAAAAAATATGGTACAGCAACTATTCACATAGCATTTACATTATGTTAGGTATTATAGGTAATCTAGAGTTGGCAAAGCATATGGGAGGATGTATGGAGGCTATATGCAAATATCCCATTTTACATAAAGGACTTGAGCATCTATGAATTTTGGTATCTGTGAGAGGTCCCGGAACCAGTCACCTGTGGATACCCAAATGAGGGACGACTGTATATTCTTGCAATAGGAAAACATACAAAATTATATCAGATTTTTGATAAAAAATCAAAATCATTAAGGTAAGTAGAAACATACCTTATGTATCTTAATTTTCAACAATTGCATACAGAAGAATAATAGACCTACAGATTGAATTATTAATTTTTTTATGGTTAATAACTTTTATTTATATAACTAAGTCAATATTCATTAAACTACTGGAATTTGAACAGTTGACAGTCTTATAAGCAAGAATTGAAGTTAAAATGGGAAAACAATCAGTGAAAACAATATGCTTCATTTATATAGTTATTCCTAGACTTCACCAGAACCAAGAAAAATAGATCATGCTTTAAAAAATTCATGAATAAACAAGGTTGTAAGTTCTGTGTCAAATTTAAAGTTCTCTGTGATAGTTTATTTATGAAACTTGAGATCAATATATGTTATGTGTTAATGTTAATGGTAAGTAATGACAAATTATTTTGTAAATAAGTCAGTGGTTTTCAGTTTTGATTGTGCATTGTAATTACTTGGGACATTTTTATAATATACCACTGACTAGAACCCAATTTCAAAGGTGTGTTTTAGTTATCTGACTTGGAACAAAAGTATTGTAAATTTTTAAGCTCTTTGAGGGCTTCTAATTTTCATCCAGGATTAAAGACCACCAATTAAAAGTTTAGGTGTTCAAAGCAAGTAGTTGAGTGCTCATTTTCCAAAATATCATTTTTACTTACTGCATGGGCCACAAAAGTCAATTAAGCCTTCTGATATGGATTGGCTGTTTCCCCATCCAAATCTCATCTTGAGTTACAGTTTCCATAATCCCCATGTGTCATGGGAAGGGCCAGGAGGAGATAATTGAATCATGGGGGAGGTTTCCCCCATCGTGTTCTTGTGATAATGAATTAATCTCATGAGATCTGATGGTTTTATAAGCATCTGGCATTTTCCCTAATTTCACTTCTTTCTGTCATCATGTGAAGAAGGATGTGTTTGCTGGTCCTTCCGCCATAATTGTAAGTTCCCTGAGGCCTCCCTTGCCATGTGGAACTGTGGTAAAACTCTTTCCTTTATAATTTACCCAGTCTCCTGACGTCCCTTATAGTAGCATGAGAACTGACTAGTACATCTTCTGAACCTCATTCTACACTCATACAATGGAAATAATAATGCTTATTAAATATAAAAAAGTTCTTTAAACGTTATTGTAAATGTCATTGTTATTGTCATTATTGTTGACAGTATTATTATAAGAAACCTGGGTGTGGTGGCTCATACCTGTAATCCCAGCACTTTGGGAGGCCAAGGTGGAAAGATCACTTGAGGCCAAGAATACTTCTTCTTAGGCCTTTCCAGAAACCCTTTAAAAGGCAGAAACAATCTCATATCAATTTTATGCAATCACCCTGTTTATTTTATTTTGAATGTACGTCAACACCTGTACTCATCTTGTTTGCTTGCTTTCTTTCTCCCTCTCTTTGTCTCCCATAATATATAAGCCTGGGCCTCTCTTACTGACTGCTGAACTCTCAGTCTCTAGAACATTGCCTGACATGTAACAGGTGCTAAGTAAATATTTATTGAACACTGACCTAGCAAGTTTATACCTACAATTTTCATACGTGACCTGAGATTTAAAAAGTCTCCATGTTAATATATTGTAGATATATATGTATATATCTATATTTATCTATTTTAATTCATTTGATTAATAATCATCATAGGTATTCATAGAGCAGTTAAACAAGTAATTACCATTATTTTGCACAGACTGGAAGTTGTCAGTACCAAAGAGGCTAAAGAGAAATCACAGAAAAATTACATTCTGATTAAATGACCATCATATCTCCTTAAGATTTGATTTTCAGCCAGGCATGGTGGCTCACACCTGTAATCCCAGAGCTTTGGGAGGCTGAGGCAGGATGATAACAGGAGGCCAGGAGTTTGAGACCATACTAGGAAACATGATGAGACCTCAACCTCCCCCAAAAACTCTACATCTTTTCTCTACCTTTGTTTTGGATTGTCTGTCTATGATAAGCCATTGGATTATATTAGATTTCATTTAGAAACCAAATCACATGTTTACTGAGATCTTCAAAGATTTATGAAGGGAAGAGTTCTCAGGGTGGTTCTCAAGATCTGCAGAAGAAACTTTAATGATGGAGTAATGTCTAATCTAGGAAATGGATGAAGAGCTGTTGAAATGTGTCATATAACAGCGTATACTTGGAATATTGCCCCAGAATAGCTAAGCATATCATGAATAATGGAGCAGATAAATTTACTTAACTGACTAAATCAATCTCAACCATTTTATTGAAATTTTGCACTATAAAAATACAGTTTTTATTTCTGAACAGAAAATTATGTGGGGAAAGTAAACATATCATTTAATGTAAACAAATAGTAAAGTAGTTTTTTTGCTTATTGAATATTTGAAGCAAGTACACAAGAATAACAAATTAATAGAATCTGAGCATGAAGCTGAATAAAAGTGAAAGTTTTATTGAAAAGACAGCAACCTGGGGATAATGAATTTAGAGATAAGATTGGGAGAATAGTCAATGCCTCCAATCTTCATGATAAAAAAAGACCAAATATGCTAGAAAAAAGTATTTATAATTTTATTTTTGTTTAAAAAGAAAAGATGTGTGAGGAAAAATAAGATATTTATATTAATGTATTTTTTCATAAAATATGAACATTTTAAGGCCAAAAACTGTATTTGATAAATCAAAGAATCGTTCTTGAGAACATGTTGTGAAAAGTATTCTGAAAAAATAATTTCATAACTGATAGATTAATTTTCCTGTTAGAATCTAATTTTGACATTTGTCTTAAAATTTTGTAATATGACTGCCTCATTTCTCCCATTTTCTATATGTTGAGAATAGCAACTGCTGATAATTACATGTTATGCAGAATTTTCAGTAGTGACTCAGATACTAATTACTGTGCAAAAAATGGAATTGTAAGGAGGGAGAATACAGTGTCACTTTTTAATAACAGAAAATCGACTGAATTATTTGTTTGCTTCTTGAAACTGAAAAAAAGTTAATTTATTTTCTTTCTTTTTTTTTTTTTTTTTTTTGAGATAGAGTTTCGCTCTTGTCTCCCAGGCTGGAGTGCAGTGGCGCGATCTCGGCTCACTGCAACCGCTGCCTCCCGGGTTCAAGCGATTGTCCTGCCTCAGCCTTCCGAGTATAGGCACCCACCAACACGCCCAGCTAATTTTTGCATGTTTAGTAATGATGGGGTTTCACCATGTTGCCCATGCTGGTTTTGAACTCTTGATCTCAGGTGATCCACCCTCTTAGACCTCCCGAAGTGCTGGGATTACAGGCATGAGCCACTGCACCCAGCCAAAAAAAAAAGTTATTTTCTTATTATAAACAAATACAGGGAATTTGAATGATTAAGTTTCAAAGTCAAATTTATACTTAATCTCACTAACGAAAACAGCTTATTATAATGTCTGTCTGAATTTATACTTAAAACTTTGGCCAGGCATGGTGGCTCATGCCTGCATTCCCAGCACTCTGGGAGGCCGAGGCGGGTGGATCACCTGAGGTCAAGAGTTTGAGACCAGCCTGTCTAACATGGTGAAACCCCGTTTCTACTAAAAATACAAAAAAAGTAGCCGGGCGTAGTGGCACATGCCTGTAATCCCAGCTACTTGGGAGGCTGAGGCTGGAGAAACTTGAAACCGGGAGGCGGAGGTTGCAGCGAGCCAAGATTGTGCCATTGTATTCCAGCTTGGGCAACAAAAGTGAAACTCTGTCTCAAAAAAAAAATTAATATTATACTGTAAAAATTCTCTATGACCTAAGGTAGTATTTTAAAAATGTTTGTGGGTGATAAATTTTTCATTTTATAAATTTATTGCATGCATTTAGTCTTCTTTTAGTAAATCTTAATTGGCTCTTCATTTTTATAAATAAGGCTGTGGTAAATATCTCTGCATATCATCCAGTTAATACACTTCATTTTGCTGGGTTAGATTGGGTATGTGTCAGTTCTTTTATTAGCGTATACATTCATTTCTCACAAATATGACTACCCAGAAGAGAAAATTAATTGATTTATATGGTAACATCTCTCTAAGGAAATGAAAATTATCTGGAAGAAAATAAATATTATACTTACTTCTAACACCCAGTGATAACTGATATTACTAATCAGATGTGTTTTTATACACAAATAATTTTCACCCAACATAAATAACTGAATATTAAGATGGTATTAATATTACAGAATCCTTAAAGTGTCACTTTTCCAGCTGGAAACCTCTGTGGCCTGTGGTGCCTTTGCCCAAGTTTTGCCCAGTCCTGCAGGGCTCATTTCGCCCACTCAGCCTGACAGACTGTGCTTGGCTCCTACTACCAAGATCCATGCCTACCAAAAGCGAGCCAAGCATGGAGTGGCAAGGGGTGTGTGAGTGAGCAAGTGTGTGGTCCAGTCACTGTGCCCAGCCAGGCATGCCAGCTGCTGTGGCAGGGTGAGCAGCTCCAAGCACCACCACAGGTGCTGACTCTGTGCAAGGCTGTGGCTGGATCAGATGTACCACAAGTGGCTTCTGCTGTGGGAACCAACATCTGGACGAGGGGAACATGGAGGCACCTGGGAGCTTGCAAGATGCCAGGAACCACAGAGCCCCAAAGAGAGTGTTTCAGCCCTGGCTCAGGAAGCTCCTTAGTCGAGGCTCCACAAAGGGCTGCAGCTCTTCTCTTCTTCTCATTGCCTCCAGCATGGTGAGAGTGGGGGCATGATTCATCCCTGTTTGTGTTACAACTCTTTCAGTTCAACCCTTTGGCGGGTCATCCATTCCCAAGTCCTTGTCCAGGAAAAATGAGGTACATGGACAACTGGAGGATGAGCAAGGCAGAGAGGTGCTTTATTGTGTGACAGAACAGCTCTCAGGAGAGGAGACGCATAGTGGGTAGCTCCTTTCTGCAGGCAGGTCATCCCACCAAGTGTCAAGCTCTCAGCAGAGAGGAGACCTGTAACGGGTAGTCCCTCTCTACAGGCAGGTCATCCCAGCAAGTGTGTAGCTCTTGGTGGAGAGAAAATCCGCAGGGAGAGTTCGTTTCTGCAGGGAGGTTGTCCTGACAAGTGTGTGAGTCTGGGTTTTTTTAATGTGCTCAGAATGGAGGAAGTATATGTTGATTGGTCTATGGGCGGCCACAAGTGAGTCTGAAAAGAGCAGTATCTGAATGGCTGAATGATCATCAATGACGTTCTCACTCCAAGGCAAGGACTTCTCCCGGAACTGGCAACCCAGCTTCCAGGTTTCAGGCCTTCCCTGGCTTGAAGGTGGGGTTTCACTGGGGACTCGCCGCTTCCTGCCTAGGAACCTGTCTGCCTTTAACATGCCATCAGTGGTGTCCAGGCTGTCCATGCTATGAGGATCCTGCAGTCCAGGACCAAGCTGCCTTCAGCAACCCCTGGACCCCCTACCAAGCTGGTGAGTGCCCAGAGTTTGGAGAGGGCTGAGGCAGCAGGGGCCTGGTGTGTCAGTGCTGCCCTGAGGGTGCGCACACAGAACTGGGTTGCAACAGTGTCCGGGCTCGCCCACAACTTTGCTGTCCCGGGAGAGCTGGGAGTGGGGAGAGGCCAGAGAGAAGGAGCAAGCACTTTCTAGCCAACAAGGACAGGGGGCTTTCTGGGTCCCCAAGAGCACAGGAATGCCGGCCTGGAGCTGCAGCAGGTTGGCTGTGGCTGTGCCCAGGAGTAGGGGCTCCTGCACCTCCAACTCAGTAGCGGGCAGGACTCTCACCAATTCCTGGCTCCCTCTGGCTTCACGGAGCCCACAGCCCCAGCTGTGCCTCCCCAGCTGTGCCTCCCCCGCTGCAGCCAGGGTCCTCTCAGCGGCTGCTCCAAGTGAGTCATTGCCACCATGATGAAGACTAGACTTAGACATCATTAGACTTCAGAAATAAAATCAAATGTATTCTATGCCATTATTTATTTAGAAGGGCAGCAAGAATTATGACCGCTGCTCTAAGTAAGAAGTCTAAAAACGATTCTGTCTGTAGTCGAATCGATAAAATAATTAGCGCAATCCTTCCCTCCCTCCCTTGTCTTTATTCCCATTGTAATCTTCATCCTAATTCATTCATTTATTTATTTATTTTAATCGGGCTGTGGTCTTCTGAGTGAAGATTTTTTGTGGTTTTCTCATTATTTAAATAGCGCCCAGCAAATATTATGTCTTGAAGAAAAAAATAACCAAAATAGTCTTTTTTTTTTTTTTTTTTTTTTTTTTTTTGAGAGGGAGTCTCGCTTTGTCGCCCAGGCTGGAGTGTAGTGGCGCGATCTCTGCTCACTGCAAGCTCCGCCTCCCGGGTTCACGCCATTCTCCTGCCTCAGCCTCCCGAGTAGCTGGGACTACAGGTGCCCACCACCACGCCTGGCTACTGTTTTTGTATTTTTAGTAGAGACGGGGTTTCACTGTGTTAGCCAGGATGGTCCTGACCTGGTGATCCACCCGCCTCGGCCTCCCAAAGTGCTGGGATTACAGGATTGAGCCACCGCGCCTGGCCAATAGTTGTTCTTTAATTACACTCAAGTCCAGTAGTCATTTGCTATAACTAGTTTGTCAAAATTTAGTGTAAAAAAAGGTCAGCTTAATGTATTAGATTATCACAATGAAAATGTGATAATTACATCATCACAATGAAAATACACAATGGGAAAAAATTAAATGGGTTTGTAAGGAACATAAAATGATTTAAATTAACCTAGAAACCTAGAATGCTTTAATTGTATCAATGTCTTTGAATGCAATGACTTCTCTGTTAAAGACTTCACACATATAAAAAATAAAAGTTGAAACCTTACATTATATTTTAAAGGCTCTATTAATATCAGTAAACATAAGATTTTTAAAAGGCCAATGAAACAAATGGCTCTTAGATTTTTTTCATGGAAAGCTGCAAAAATAAGGACTTTTCCAACTGTATAATTATATACCCCACTATAATTTTTTCCTTATTTTACAAAGGAAGAATGCCATTAAATAAAATGATAAACAATCATGTCTTTAAAAATATTTTGATAAAATGTGCCAAATATAACTTTTGCTTCATCTAAATGCACACAAACATCTAAAGTTGGATAGCTTTGAGATAATCTTGTAGTAAGTATGAGGAATGGCTGGTGCGCAAGAATTGTTTAAGACTGGAACTATATTGAATTGTTTAAGTCTGGAAGGTATATTGGAGAAAGAAAAAAATCATGAAGGCTACAGAGAAAAATATTGTGGATAATATGTATCCTTTGGAGCCCTTCCTTTTTAATTTACTTTTATTTTTATTTTCTTATTACTTTCCCAAAACCTTGTTGTGATTCTCCTTCCATTCTGAATAGCTATCTAAGAGAGCTAGAAAAATATACTTTCAATATGAATAGTTGTATATGAAACTTACAGTCATATATTATTTGTTTAAGTATAGCTCTTGGGTAAAACAAAAAAGAATATCTATAGCTGAATCAAATTCCTGTCTAACTGTGATTTGGGCAAAATCTTAAGCTCAGTTTTTTAACTTTATTTTTGGTCCATCTTGATTATAATTCTATTTTGCATGGGCCTTGTGAGTTCCAGGTACCTATATAGTGCCATGATATTACCATAATGTGTAGCTAGGTCTCAGGACAGGGCAACTTTGGCTTTCTCTCGATAACATCCTCTGGAAATCTGTCCATGCTTCCAGATGATTTAAATCATGCAATTCACTCTTATTGTGTCTATTCTTTTTGTTCCAGCTCCATATTTTTCTTGTTAGTTCTGACCTCCTTCTGAACTATTGTTGGGCATAGAAAAAATGCATTTTTTAAAATCATCTTAGGACAGCAAATAACATCTGCAAATTTTTCTAAGCCCTCTCTGCCTGAACACACAAAAAACTCATTTACATTCCAGTTGGTGCAAGATGGCTTAAAAAACAATACTTCTTGCCTTTTCAGGTATCTAGTCTGGGCTACTATAACCAAATACCATAAACTGGGTAAATTACAACCAACAGAATTTTTCTTAGTTTGAAGGCTGGAAAGTCCAAGGTCCAGAAGCCAGAACATTTGGTGTTTGGTGAGGGCCCAGTTTCTGGTTTATAGATGGTTTTTCCAGCTGAGCCCTCACACGGTAGAAGAGAAAAGGCAGCTCTCTTGGACCTCTTTCATTAGGATACTCATCTCATTCATGAGAGCTCCATCCTCATGACCTATTTACCTCCTGAATATCCTGAATTTTAATACCATAGCATTGGTGGTTAGGTTTCAACTTAGGAACTTTGGAGAAACACAGACATTTAGACCACAGCACCGGGGTTCAACCAAGAGATAAAAAACACATTCATTTGCAAACTCTTAAGCTTATCTAAAGGTGTTTTCTTCTCCCACCCCTCATAATTTAGACTGGAGTGGATTCAGGGCTAGGGCCCTTTCTTAGACTCAACAGCTCTCCTCCTTTTTTTCTTTTTTTTTTTTTTGATAAAGCTGATAAAGTGACCTGAGTGGGGATTGTCTCTTACCAATCACGTATGATTCTATCTATATTTTAAGCTATAATCTTTATTCACTGAGTACTTCAAGTCTCTAGTTGAGTGATGTATATAACATTTTTCTTCTCAACTTTTGTTACAGCTGTAAATTTCAAAGAATTATTTTGAAGTTCAAAATCCATGAAATGATTTCTTTGTTTTGCTTTCTCTTACTTTTGTATTCTTCTTTATCTTGAGGTAATGAATGCCACTATTAATGTATAAAAAAAATGAAGCAAGTTATTAGGAACAAAAAACATATTTGTTAATATATGAAGTTTGTACTACTGAATGACAGTATAAGTTAATAAAACTCTATGGGTTTAATTCCCCCTATGAATGATGTCTCAGATTCACCAACCTTGGGCTCTTTAGCTATGTTCAGGAGGCAGACTAAGTTCTCCTTGGACAAGCAGTGCTGTCTACTCATTTAGATTGTCTATTATTAAAGAGGCTATTTCAACTTGGTGGTTCAAATAAATAGTGCCAATTTTATTCAAAATGAAGTCGGCAGACAACCAAAATAATATATCCTGAGTTCTGGAGATAAGTTGTTGATAACAACTGGCTGGCTCCATCTGATATGGATGTTTATATGTCAAGACCATCTCAGAAGGAATTTACTTACTCAGATTCCTGATCTAGAATCCACTCCAAAGGATTTATGAAATTGTCTCTTACCTAGATTGCACAGTTGGCATCACAGAGAGAGGGTGAAAAGAAAATGAAGGAGATGTGTGAAGTCATTTTATACCTGTACCATCTCTTAACCTGATGCATTATATTCGATTCTATAACTTCAGAATTCTAGACTTCAAGAAACTAAAAATACAGGTCAAAATAAAATCTAGATAAATAGACACTAGATACATAAGACTACATCTCTTTATTCTGACCATGAAAAATTTTCTATGCATTTATCTTTATCTGAATACTGTAAATGTTTAAAAATATTTAGGATGAATTTATGGACATCAAAAGGAAGAAAATTCAAAAGATAGATTTAGCAAACAATCCCAGTATTATACAGGCCTATATTTGATTGTATTAAATGAAATAAAGAATGTGGAAAGAATTGTACCTAGGGGAGAACAGGACTGTCTGTTGCTCTTCATAAGCATGATATTCAAAAGTGGCGCCTTCTAATCCATCTAAAAGAAATGTGCTGAAATGACATGATTTCATATTAATGGGACATACTACAGAAACGAGTGCAAACAATATGCAGAGAGGAGATAGTCATTAGAGAATAGTACTTTTATATGCTCCTTTCCACACCAACTGAAAGCACAGGCTTCAAACTCTACCCAGTTATGCTCCACACATTGATGCTACAATCTGTGGCTTCTCATGGGATAAATTAATTCATAACAAATCCATAAAGCTCTATTAAGATGATACTTTTGTTGAATATGTGAATGTGGTTCTGGAAGTTTGACTTTGTGCTCAACAATTTCCAAATTCTCTAATAGAATTACTAAACCCACAGTGCCCACAGCTCTGCTCAGAGGGAAGTTGGCTCTTTTTGGTGAATTGCACAAAGTCACTGAACTTTGTAAGAAACATAACAAGTATCACTAACCTAACATAAGCTATATTTTAGTCTTCACAACATAAGCCATGGTAATGAGAGCCCTACATAAAAAGTAGAGATGGGCTACTAGGATTCAATCTAGGCCTTTCATGAGTTTCATCCTTACATGTATTAATAGCTGGCTTATTAAGTGGGAGTCCCAATTATAGAGTTGGTCACAGCTATTTGTGGGGATACACTAGTTTCATAGACTCTAACTCCATTTGCATTCTCACATTTGTGATAGCTTATCACTTTCTTTCCTTGGGAAAATGACGGAAGGTTAATGTCGTGGACACTGTAGCTGACATTGCTATGGGACTACAAGGAAAACGGAGAAATTATCATAGTTGCAAAATTTGTACTGAACCTAATACTTATTAGTACTGTTTCCTAGGCCACAGCAAATGGCCTAACTAAGCAAGTCTTTAATCACTGGAATATGAGTAACAGTTGAACATTAAAATGAGAGTAATCAACTCAAAAAATGAGCTGCATTCCAAAACATGTAAAAGTTGATTTATAACTGATTCCCCTCCCTCACTTTCTCTCCAAATAACTGCAAATAATTCTTGAAAATAATTGAACCTAATTATTATTAAGTAGATACCTTAACTAGTCCCAATATCCCACCAGATAACATAGGCATAACAATAGATTCATAACAGAGTGAGACAGGAATAGGAAGCTCCTCAAAATGGGTTTGTGTCATCTGTGTGCTTCCGACAAACTACAATGGACTACTCTAAGTGTGCAGCTTCAAGCAAGTCAAAATGAACTTTGCATGAATTTACACATCTGTGTCTAGGATATCACAAAAGATACACATGTCCCTTCCATATTATGAATTTGTAAATGTAAATTTTCACATAATATTTTCTCAAACTGTAATGTGCCTTGTTCCAAAATATAGCATTTTAATATCTCTATTTTTGGTGTGATTACTGAAAATTTTAGTGACATGGGTATCACATCATCTACTGTGATTAAGTCATCAATGTAGAGTCGCATCAGTCTGAAACAGAACTAAAAAAGGCATTCACTAAAAATTTTATCTCATCTACTCTCTAAAAGATAAGAGAATGGTAAAACAGAATGGTGTGCTTAAAAATGTAGTCTCTATTCTGAGAAAATGAAAATTTTAGAGGGTCTATTAGAAGATTTTTATTCCACAGAACCATTTCTTAAGATCAGGAAACTCCACGGATTTGTTTCAGTCACTACATCCCTTTATAAGTAAAATAAGAGGAGGCTTATAAGGGCCCCTAAATCTCATACTTCAGATTGTATCTAAGATATCTTTAGAAAGACCTGTCTTTATCTCCCAAAATGGAAATGGCTTCAAGGCTAGTGCTGTCATTCCAAAGAACGAAACAGATGAGCTCTTGACTGGATGAACATTATGTAATTGGATAAAATAATCGTGGAGAAAGTTTGAGAGATACAGAAGTAGTGGCAGCTTTGCATTAGCAAGGGTATCTCTGTGTATAATGGTGCCCTTGGGACTCCACTGGGAGTCAACATATGTCGATTCCTGACTTTCACTATATTCAGGCACCCCCATAAAATATATTTATCATCCTCAGGTGCCTTGGTAAAGGGAAAATAATGTATCCATTGCACTGGAACCAAAATTAACTTGGAAAGTTGTGCAAAAGACCAAGGAAACACTAAAATTATGATATAAATATGAAGGTGGAAAGCAGAGTGTGATTTTTATAACCATTTCAAATCAAAAGTTGAGCAGCTATCTACAAAAATTACACTTGAGGAGGTCATTTTCTCCTTCCTGGAAACTGGAAATGAAGTTTAGTCCTGGCCAGAAATGCTTCCTGGGACTATTGCCAGTAACATGACCTTAATGAAGTTCAAAACATTTTCCATACATTAATATGAAATAGGGATACTTCCAAGTGGGATTTCCTAACAAATATATGTCCCACACTTGTATTGAAATTGGCCCAAAATCAGTCTAATATACCAAAAATTAAATAGGACATGGGATGCCTTGGGACTTCAATCCATTGCTCATTCTTCCTAGACCAAATTCATTTAAGCATTATAACCTAAGTCAAAGAGACTACATAAAGTAGGTTATTTTATTGCAAATTAGTTATTATGTACAGTGGAGGAGAAATGTGAAGTTTCACTGCAAATACTATTGAATAATTAACACTCAAACTCTGACCTTATGAAACAAACTCCTCTTGTAGGTCTGTTGCATAAACTAAACAAACAAACAAACAAAAACAAAACACAGTGCAAGCTGTGTTACTGGAGCCAGTTAGGAGTGTTCACTCCTGGAGGAGGAAGCTCATCTTTTGCAGTCTAATCCACACATTCATTCTGATACCATCTGCCCCACTATTTTTGAATAACAAAGGCCACCGGGAAATTTTTTTTAAAGGCCTATTTCTTACCTCCAGGAGGAGGAAGAGAAAAGCACCACACCTGTTGGAAGCAGATGCAATGTGAATCTTGAGGAGTGAAAACAATTTTGCTCTAGATTGTCTTTTAAGATTGGTATATTAATAGCCTCTAACAAAATGATCCAGTTATGTTGAGCTCTCATTCCTGGAAGAAAAATAACTGGCTAGAAAACACACAAAATAAATGCAAAAGAGGAAGATAAGATCTGAATATCATGGTAAAAGAAATAGATATCTGGTGCCCCCGTGCCTACAAGGCAGAAACAGGAAGAAGCCTACCCACAGAGGTATATCATGGCCGACTTCAAATACCGGTGTCTGTATAGAACCTAAATGATGGGAAATTTAAAATACTTTTGATGATTTGTTCTGGAAAAATAGATAGGAATATGTTATTTTTTCTAATTAAATACTACTAAATGCTAGGTATAATAGATGAAAGATTTAATGCAGAGCTGGACTCGCATAAACTAAGAGAAATCCATAGTGAGACATAAAATGTCATAAACATGTAAACTACTGCTGGAATAGGGCCGAGAGTGAAATCATTAGATATGGTAATGTTGAGGATCTAGGGTATTTATGATTATGAGATCGGAGAAAAGGCCTTGGGAATTTGAGGCTTAAAGTTAGAACTTACACTTTCTTCAAGGACTATAAATGGTGAAATAATGTCTGGCTACTAGCATAGCAATATGAAAAACAAGCTTATTTTTGCTTGGACTTTGGGGAAAGAATAAATATGTCCCCTGAGATATCATAATCTTGAGTCTGTGCTTTGCATTCATTTATAGTTTGAAATTGGATATGCTTCTGGGTGTACAATTTAAAAGTTAACATGAAAAGCCTGGAATGTCTGGAAGAAGAAAATACAGAATGCTATTGAAAGACAATCTCACAACCAAGCAACATGGGCTGAATATAGATGTAAGAATAGCCCCACTGAAGATGAGCTCAGAATGAAAACACTTAAAATTCATAAGAAATAATTAACCATGAGTGAGGTAAGAGTCAATTGAACAAGATGAATCATACTTTAAATAGTTTAGATAATAGAAAAGTTTAATTAAAAATGAAAGTAAAAATAACAATTTTAAAATAATTTAATATATAAATACAAAACAAAAAAAATTAAGGTTATATAAAAGAAACATCAAGTTTGAAAATCATAAACAAATGAAACTTCCAGATGTATATAATCATTAAATTGAAAATTTAATAGACCGAAAAATTAGATGAAATAAAGCTAAATAAATCAAAATATGAAAGATAATATAACTTAATGTTAAAATACAAAGCTGAAAAATGCAGAGTTGAAAAATATGAATGCAAGATTAAGACATTCAAAAGAGGGAGGCCTAGATAACTTCAGAAGTAATAAAGAGAAAAAGAAGTCGCTATGCAAAATTATATGTGAGAAATATAAAAAATAATTCTTTGAGAAGTCCAAATTGACACCAGGAAATAATAAATTTAAAAAAATCAAATCTAGTCGCATCAGATTGAAACTGCATTGTCCCGCAAAAAAAGACACCCAGTTTAAAAAAAAAAAATCATAGAATGAAACAAAGGAAAAGATGCATCGTGTACATAGAAACAACGGTTTTTTTCAAAGGCAACAATGAAAACCAGAATATATTGACTTCCAAGTGCAGTGCAAAAATAACTTCTGAAGAATAAAAGAAAACTTTACATATGACACAAATGTTTTATACATCTGTGAGCATATTAAGAGATGTTCCATAAATGTGGATGTGGTTTATATATAGTAGAGACATAGTTCCTGCACTAACAGAGCTTATAATCTGCTGAGGGATCATATGGTAAAATTATATTTCGTTTTTGATAAATAGCTACACTGCACCTAAAGTGTCTGTACTAGTTTACATTCCCACCATTTTACATAAGACTATCAGAAGATTTTTCAGGAGAAACATTGCAGGCCAAAGATAGTGGGATGATATACTTAAAGTAACTAAAAAACAAAACAAAACAAAACAAAAAAATCCTGCGAAATAAGAACACAATACCCAGCAAAACTCTTTTTCAAAAATGAAGGGATATAATGACTTTCTCAGACAAACAAAAGATGAGGCAATTCATTACCATAAAATCTGTCTTACAAAAAAATGAAAAAAAGTTAAAAGTTTAAATGAAAGAATGGTAAAGCTACGTGAAAATAGAGAACTTGTTTATAAAAGTAAATATATAGACAGAAACGAAATTGTGTAATACTGAAACAGTAGTGGGTAAATCACTCATTTTAAATTTATTGTTTAAATTTTTAATGGCAAAGCATAATTGTATTTCCATGGTGCTTATATGAAGCATCTTAAAGTTATAACAGTCCATTTTAATGTGATAATAACTCAGCTTCACCTGCATACAAAAACCACACTTTGCTTCTCCCTCTACATTTTATGCTATCGGTGTTAGATTTAACATTTGTTTACAATGTGTATGCATTAACATAATTTAGTTATAGTTGTTTTTAATACCTTTGTCTTTTAACTTTATGATGGAACTAAATGCAATTTATTTCACATCATATACATATATCAAAATATAACATTGTAAGCCATAATTATATACAAGTGTTTATCAACTTGATTGTGGTGATTTTTTCACATTGTGTACATATGATAAAATACCAAGTGTTACACCTTAAATACATACAATTTCTATTTGTAAATACATTCAATTTCTATACCACAATAGGGCTAAAATTTTAAAAGTAATTGATTTTTGATTATTCTTTTATATCATAAAGAAAATGTCTTCTTCAGATATATAATTTGAAAATATTTTCTCACACTTTGTGGCTTGGTTTATCAGACTATTAGCAGTCTCTTTAGAATAGCAGAAAATGTTATTGTGGTGAATTCTGTTTTCTCAAATAATTTTTTTATTAGTCAGGCTTTTGGTGTTATGTATGAGAAATCTTAAAATATTTCAAAATTATGTAGTTTCTCCTATAGTATTTTTTAGAAATTTTATTATTTTACAGTGTACACTTTGGTTCATCATCCTTTTTGATTTGTTTATACGGTATGAAGTATGTTATGAGATTATGCTTTTTTATTTGTACTTTTAAGTGTTTCAAAACTATGCATTGAAAAGACTACTTTCTCCATTGAATTGCCTTTAAAATTGTCAAAAATCAGTTTATTATAATTGTCTTTGTCTATTTCTGAGTTGTCTGTTCTGTTAATTGATCAGTCATCCATCTATCTTTGACAATTGTGATTCTATAAATTAATCAGCATGTTTTTTGGCCACATAAATGTCTTCTATTGGGAAGTGTCTCTTCATATCATTTGCCCACTTTTTGATGGGGTTGTTTGTTTTTTTCTTGAAAATTTGTTTATGTTTCTTGTAGATTCTGGATATTAGACCCTTGTCAGATGGATAGATTGCAAAATTTTTCTCCCATTCTGTAGGCTGCCTGTTCACTCTGATAATAGTTTCTTTTGCTGTGCAGACACCCTTCAGTTTAGTTAGATCCCATTTGTCTTTTGTTGTGATTGCTTTTGTGTTTTAGTCATGAAGTCTTTGCCTATGCCTATGTCCTGAATGGTATTGCCTAGCTTTTCCTCTAGGGTTTTTATGGTTTTAGGTTTTACATTTAAGTCTTTAATCCATCCTGAGTTAATTTTTTGTGTAAGGTGTAAGGAAGTGTTCCAGTTTCTGTTTTCTGCATATGGCTAGCTAGCTCATCATCACTGGTTAATAGAGAAATGCAAATCAAAACCACAATGAGATACCATCTCACTCCAGTTAGGATGGCAGTTATTAAAAAGTCAGGAAACAACAGATGCTGGCGAGGCTGTGGAGAAATAGGAACGCTTTTACACAGTTGGTGGGAACGTAAATTACTTCAATCATTGTAGAAGACAGTGTGGCGATTCCTCAAGGATCTAGAACCAGAAATACCATTTGACCCAGCAATCTCATTACTGGGTATATAACCAAAGGATTATAAATAATTCTACTATAAAGACACACATGCACATGTATGTTTACTGCAGCACTATTTACAATAGCAAAGACTTGGAACCAACCCAAATGCCCACCAATGACAGACTAGTTAAAGAAAATGTGGCACATATATACCATGGAATACTATGCAGCCATAAAAAATAATGAGGTCGTGTCCTTAGCAGGGACATGGTTGGAGCTGGAAGCCATCATTCTCAGCAAACTAACACAGGAACAGAGAACCAAACACTGCATGTTCTCACTCATAAGTGAGAGTTGAATAATGTGAACACATAGATGCATTTAATTTTACAACATTCCATGACCTGAAAAAGAAACCTCCTGCTCAATGACAATCAATCTTATTTCTCCTCACTAACCCCAGCCTTAACCATTTCAAATTGACTTCTGTCTTTATAGATTTGCCTTTCCTAGACATTTCATAAAAATTGATTCATATAAAACAGTATTTTGTGTATGATTTTTCTCATTTACCCTAATGTTTTGGGGGTTTATAATGCTGTAACATGCTTTAGTACTTTGCTATTTTTTATTGTTGAATAACATTTCATTGTATGCATATGCCACTTTTTGTTTATTCATTAGGTAGTTGATTGACATCTGGGTTGTTCCCCCTTTTTGACTCTTACGCTCAATGCTGCTATGAGCATTAATGTAGAAGTTTTTGTATTGGCATATAGTTTCATTTGCCTTGGGTATAAATCTAGGAGTGGAATTGCTAGGTGATATGAAAACTCTATACTTTCCATTTTTCAAAACTGGCAAACTGATTATCCAGACTACATTATTTTACATTCCTACCAGCATGTGAGGATTCCATTTTTTCCAGATCCTCACCAATTATAATTATTGTGTGTTACTTCGATGAGGGATTCTGGTCAGTGTGAAGTGGAATTTCGTTGTGGTTTCGGTTTGCATTTACTTAATGACTAATGCCATTCAACATTTATCCATGTGCTAACTGGCTCTCTATGTGTCTTCCTTAGAGAGATGCCAATTCGAGTCTTTTGCTCATTTTAAAAATTGGGTTACTGATCTTCTTAATTGTCATTTGTAAGGGTTCTTATACATTCTGTATTCAAGCCTCTTATCAGGTATATAATATGCAAATATATTCTCCCAGTGTCTGTGCTGCCTTTTCACTATCTTAATCTTGTCTTTTTCAATATTTCTTCTTGAGAAGATTTTGTTATCTTTGTCTCTCAAGGAAGCATTCATCCAAGTTGTAAAATTGTTGGGAATGGTCTTCATATTGATTCCTTATTATCTCTTTTCTATCTGTAGAATCTCTAGGGCTGTATCCTTTCTTATTCCTAATAATGATAAATTTTGTATTCCCTGTTTTTTGTTTTAATCAGTTTACCAATTTTATCAGGCTCCTTAAAGATCCAGGTTTCGGATTTATTGATTTTCTCTGTTGTTTTCATTTTTCAATTCATTGATTTCTTCTTATATCTTTATTATTTAATCTATTCTTATTTGTATGTACTTTGTTCTTCTTTTTCTAGTTTCTTAAATTCTAAGCTGGGGTCATGTATTTGGAAGTTTTCCTTAGGTGTTTCTTGCTGTTGTTAATACAGGTAATTAGAGCTATACATTTCCAACTACATAATATATTAGCAATAGCTCACATATTCTGATATGCTATGTTTTAATTAATTTAGCTTAAAATACTTTGCAGTTTCAGTTTTGATTTCTTTTAGACGTGGGTTGTCTACTAGTAGGTTATCTCTCTTCCAGATATTTGGGGATTTTCTAGAGGTTTTTCTTTTGTTCATTTCTAATTAAATTTTATAGTGGTCAGAAAACATAATTTATATAATTTGATATTTAAAAATTGAGAAATTATGTATGGCCTAGAATTTGATCTCTCTGCATAAACTTGAAAATAGTATATTTTTCTTTTTGTTGAGGGCTAATATATAAATACCATTATATTAGTAATTACTGATGCTGTTCAAGTCTGTCACACCTTAGCTTATTTTCTGTCTACTTGTATCAATTATTGAGAGAGGAATCTTGAAATCTCTAATGCAATTATGAGTTTCTCCTTGAAATTCTATCAGTTTTCTCATCATGCATTTTGAAGCTTTGTTATTTAGGTGCATACTATGTGAGATTCTTGTGTATTCTTAATCAGCATCTTTATTAAGATATGCTTATTGTTATACATGGCCATAACTTTTGCTCTTGAAACTATTTTTTCTGACACTCAGCTGTCTTTTGAGTAATACTAACATTGTTTAATTTTAAAGTTTATTTTATTTTTAATTGAAAAATAATAATTACATACATTTATGGGGTAAAATGTGATGTTTTATATATAGATTATATAATAATCAAGGTAATTAGCACATCAATCTCACCTTATCTATCATTTCTTTATGGCTAGGATACTTAAAATTATCTTTATTAGCTATTTTTAAAGAGACAGTATATTTTTATTAGCTGTGGTCATTTCGTTGTGCAATAGAAGACCAGGACACATTCCTCTAATCTATCTGTAATTTTGTATGCATTAACAAACATCTCTTATTTTCCTGTCCATCCCATACCCCTCCAGCATCTGTTAACCACAATTCTGCTCTCTCCTTCTTTGAGTTCGACTTTTAGATTACACATACAGTTAAGATCCTGGGGTATTTGTTTCTCTGTGCCTGGTGTATTTTATTTAACATAACGTCATCTCACTTCACGCATGCTGTCACGAACAACAAAATGTATTTTTTTTTAAGGCTGAATAGTATATTATTGCGTATAGATAGACATGTTAAAAACCCATTCATCTATTAATGGACGCAGGTTTTTTAATATATGTTTTTTGGCTACTGTGAATAATGCTGCAATGAGCATGGGACTGCAAACAACTCCTTTTATACTGACTTAAATTCCTTTGGTAATACCCAGTATTGGGATTTCTAAGTCATATGGTAACTCTATTGTTAGTTTTCTGAGGAACATCCGTACTGTTTTCCATCATGGCTGTACTAATTTACAATATGACAAGTAGTGTATAAGCGTTTCCTTTTCTCTATATCATCATCAACACTAAAGATTTTTCATCTTTCTAATAATAGACAATCTACCATATGTGAGGCAGTATCTCATAGTGGTTTTAATTTGCATTGCTGTGATGTTTAGAGATTTTGACTATTTAAAAAATATTTCTGTTGGCTATTTTTATGTCTTCTTTTGTGAAATGGTTATTCAAGTCCTTTCCCTATTTGTTATTTATTTATTTTTATTTTTTATAATTTCAAGTTTTATTTTAGATTCGGGGGTATATGTGCAGGTTTGTTACATGGGTACATTTCGTGATGCGGAGGTTTGGTGTGCAATTAATCCTGTCACTCAGGTAGTGAGCATAGTACTCAAGAATTAGTTTTTCAACCCTTATCTCCTCCCTTCCTCACCACTTCTAGTAGTCCCCAGTGTCTATTGTTGCCATCTTTATGTCCACGAGTACCCAGTGTTTGGCTCCCACTTATAAGTGAGAACATGTAGTATTTGGTTTTGTGTTCCTGCATTAATTTGCTTAGTCTTCCAGCTACATCCATGTTGCTGCAAAAAGACATGATTTTTTTCTTTATTATGGCTGCGTAATAATCCAAGATGTATATGAATCACATTAAAAAAAATCCAGTCCACCACTGATGGGCACCCAGGTTGATTGCATGTCTTCGCCGTTTTGAATAGCGCTGTGATGAAGATACAATTGCATGTGTCTTTTTCGTAGAATGATTTTTCTTTTGGCCGTATACCCAGGAAAGAGATTGCTGTATTGAGGTGGCTGTATTTAAATTAAAAGATAGAGTCGTCTCTATTTTAAGTTCCCAAAGTACTTAAAATCTCCAAACTGCTTTCCACAGTGGCTGAACTAATTTACATTCCAACCAACATTATATAAACATCCCCTTTTCTCCTCAGCCCTGCTAGCATCCGTCGTTATTGAACTTTTTAATAACACCCGTTCTTACTGGTGTGAGGTGGTACTGCATTTTGGTTCTGATTTGCATTTCTCTAATGATTAATGATATTGAGCATTTTTTCATGTTTGTTAGCTATTTGTATGTCTTCTTTTGAGAAGTTTTAGTTCATGTCTTTCAACCACTTTTTAATGGGTTATTTGTTTTTTGCTTGTTGGATTGCTTAAGTTCTTATAGATTCTGGATATTAAACTTTTGTTGGATTCATAGTTTGCAATTACTTTCTTCCATTCTGTAGGTTGCCTGTTTACTTTGTTGTTAGTTTCGTTTGCTGTGCAGAAGCTCTTTAGTTTAATTTGGTCTCACTTGTCAATTTTTGTTTGTGTTGCAATTGCTTTAGGCCTTGTCATAAATTATTTCTCAAGGCTGATGTCCAAAATGGTGTTTTCTAGTAGGATTTTTATAGTTCGATGTTTTACATTTAAATCAATCCATTTTGAGTTAATTTTTATATATGGTGAAAGTTAGGAGTCCAGTTTTATTCTTCCACTTATATCTAGCTAGCTATCCAAGCACTATTTATTGAATAGAAAGTCCTTTCCGCATTGCTTATTTTTGTAAAGTTTTTTGAAGGTATGTGGCTATATTTCTGAGTTCTCTAAACTGTTCCATTGGCCTATGCATCTGTTTTTGTAACCTTACCATACTTTTTGGATACTGTAGCCTTGTGGCATAGTTTGAAGTTAGGTGCAGATTCAATGCTATACCTATCAAACTACCAATGTCATTTTTCACAGACAGAGGTAGAAAAAGATATTCTAAATTTCATATGGAACCAAAAAGGAACCCAAATTTTTTAAGCAATCCTAAGCAAAACAAACAATGCCTGTTTAAAAAATACAGCTATTTTGGCTTATTATTATCTAATTTGTGTTTCTTATGTATTAGCCTCTAATCTGATGTATGATTTGCAAATAGTTTCTCCTAGTGTGTGCGTTGTCTCCTCACTCTATTGTCTCCTTCATTACACAAAAGTGTCTTAGTTTAATACAGTCGTCTGTCTCTTTTTAAACTTTCTTTGCCCGTGTTTTTGTGGTTATATACAAAAAATCTCTGACCAAGCCAATGTAATGGGATTTTCCCCTGCATTTTCTTCTATTAGGTTTACAGTTTTAGAATTTACATTCAAGTCCTTAAACAATTTTGAGTTAATTTTCCTATGAAGACTGAGATAAGGGTCCATTTTCATTCTTGTGCATGTGAATATCCAGTTTACCCAAAAACATCATATATCTTTTAATGTCTTTTTACTTTGAATCTATTTAACATGTATCTCATGGGAAACATGTAATTACTTCTTCTTTCTTCTTTCTGAAGATCTCTGTGGTTAGTGTGTTTCATTCATTTGCAGTTGATATGATAACTAATATAATTGGTTTTAATCCATCACCTTTTCTATTCTATTCCCATCAATTTTCTATTTTACACTTGTATCTTTTCTTTTGCTAACTTATTAGTGTAATCCTTTGCTTTGTTTGTGTATGCTTTAGGGTTTATTGTGTACGTATTTAACATATGATGGTCTCTTTGTAAGTGATGTTGAATCTGCACTTCAGATGTAGTACACATCCATCTCTCCCCTCCCAGTTTTAATGCTATTGGCATGCACTTTACTTATACATAAGTGACAAACATTAAAATACATTGTTATTATATTTTAAACAATGATCTTTTACAGATATTGAAATAATAATAACAACATTCATATTTGTCACATAGTTTTCAAACCAAATGCTGTTCACTTTTTTGTGTGTAGTTCTGGTTTTCCACCAGTGTTTCTATGTTTCTGATAATTTTTCCTTGTTGCCTGATGCACAACATTTTTTTAATCTAATTTATTTTGTCCATGCTTTTATTGGGTTCAGATGGGAGATTAATGTAATCTCTATTTCTAAATCTTGGCCAGAAGCAGAATTTTTCTTATATCAATCCCTATGTGTTAGGTACTATTATAGTCTTCATTTTTATCTTAACTCAATATGGTATAATAACAGTTTTGCTTAAAAGATGCATTACTTTTAAAGTTCAAGAAAATTTTCTATGGATAATACAGATACATATATATGGCTAATATAAAAGTTGGAGGAAATTCAGCCCTTGATTTATACTACTCTGACTTTAAACATAGGTTGATTAAGTTGAATCAGTAGTGACAAATCAGCCTCAGCTGAAATCAAATAATCGTTAACAATCTCTTTACCTGTCAACAGAAGGAGAAAATGAGGTTGAAAGTAAAGTAACATTTTCATTCCTATTCTTGTATGCTCTTCTCTTGGTTGACAGATAATTAGGGACATTCACAGTTATTTGTTTTGTTTTGTTTCCCTTCACTGAGCAAAGGAGGCCATTATGTGCCCCCTGTTATAACTCAGAGAAACCAGACTTAAACTGATATTATTTCTATGGGTTCTTGCATTTAACAGTTTAAACTAATTTTTTAATGATCTGCCTAAAATGCTAGCATTTGTTTATGTAATTTTTGCTTATAGTACTACTTATATACCCCGTAGCCTCTTTCGCTGAAAGTACATTACAAGCATATTTGGTTTATGTAATATGTTCAATTAATTGCATCATGTTTGTGAATTTGCCCTATATTTTTGAAGAATGGATCTGTCATTGTCCAGCACTGTAACTTGTGTTTATTGTTTTTCCTTCAGTTTTAATGAATAAGGTTTTTGTCAATGCGATCCCCTCTGCCAATGACCCTGAAAACATTTTATCCATTATTTTCTGGAATCTCATTCTGTTATCTGATGTGTTTTGTACATTTTTCAGACTCTATCTCTTTTGAATTTTCATTGTTTTTATTTTCTGTTATTCTTTATTCACATCTATATAACAAGCTCAAATTTCTCCTATTTTGTAGAAATCCGCCATGACTAATCATTTACCACTGCCACAGTACTTTTTCACTTTTCTTTAAATTGTGGATTCATGAAATTCATCTCCTCCTGATGACATTATTTACTTATTTCCAATTAACTCCTCAGCCATGTGTAATCTAAATTCTGTCTTTTATTTACTTCAGTGAAACTTCTTAGTGAAAGTCACCATCTTTCATGCTGCCAACCTCAATAAACTTACTTAACTATTTTCTTATTATACATTTCTGCTCTATTGAGCATATTTTTGTGTTCAGTTTTGTATAGTCAGTTGTTGATATTGCATTCTAAACTAGAAATCCTGGCCCACTCTTTCAAAAGACATTAATGCCTAGAATGTCAATTAAATATCATACTCAAATAAATTGGATACAAACCGTTAGGTAAGCATAGGCAACTTAAGACAATATGAACAGAGATATAGTACGCAAAGACTCAAGCAATTATAAAACAGTACTTGAAAGACACATGATTTTGATCACAGCCTTGAGTCATGCTACCTTACTTCCTTGACTTCTATGACACTACTCTTTCTTCAATTTTTGAAAAAATATATCATTTTAAGCATCTGTATAAATCTATTCTCCAGTGACAACTCTTACATATTTGTTCTGCTTATCACTCTTTCTTTCTTCTACAAAAATACTACATATTTTCATCATTTGAAAATGCACATATCTCTACCGTTGATGTTCAGCCTTGATAATCCAAACTCAAATGTAAATTTGTCTGTTGGATAAATGTATTTGCAGGCCTATAGCCACAACAAACAATAATTTCAATTATAAAATTATTATAAAAATTATAAAAATTTTCCCCAAATTTGATCTGCTTTCTGCATTTCCCATCTTTTAAAATGACACCAAAAATTATCAAGTGACTTAAGTTAGAAACCTGGACATCATCTGAGACAGACTAGATTTCCTTAGGTCCCATGTATTCTACAAGTAATTAATCATAATATGCAGTCAATATCAGTTCCTTCACATTTTTCTGGAGAGGGACTTTGCTAGCAAGAAGGAAGTCAATCTTTTGTAATCTAATCATGATGGCAATATTCCCTTAACATTGGCATCTCTATTGGTTAGAAGCAAACTACACAATAGGATGAAATTATATAAGAGATCATTATGGGGAGAGGGCCTGCCGCACATTCCATATAACTTGAGAGTTTCAAACCATATATTGGGTTAAAAGATTAATATTGTCACTGATAAGGCTGGCTTAGAAAGTGCAGCTTGGACTCAGGGCCAATGTAACTTTTCTATTCCACATCCAGTGAAATAAACCTACCCACTCATTCACAGGTCTCCTTCCTCAGGGGTTGAGTCAGCTTCAGTAGGCTTAACTCAGAAAGAAGAGGAGGAAAACAAAACAGAAATAACAAAAAGTTCTCCTGATGGTGGGTGGTTGTGAATAGTATAGCCAGAGACTGATCTATCAAAGGACACAATGCTGTCATTTCTCCTTCCATATGAAGGAGCAATTTAGAGATTTTTTAAAAAGGCAGAATCTTTCCCTCCATACTTGAAAAAACTTTGTGATTAGAAGCAATTCAAAAACTACAAAAATAAAATGGTTTTCCTTGACATCTGAAATTCAAGATACCACAAGAACAGACCCCATTATTGCTTTATACAATTAGTAGATGTATAATGAAATTTCCTCATCTCTTAATGCTTTTAACAACATGGACATGAATAAATAATTCCAGCTCTGGAAAATCATAAGGTCTGTTGCCAAATTTTCTTTGGCAAAACACCACATCCTATCACTGCCCAATTTTATATTTGCTAATATTAAACAGAACCACAATCCAGAATAACCCTGCCCATGGTTCTTAGGCCAAATTTTACTGTCAAAAGTAGTTTTATTATTAAGCCATGGATTCAGTTGCTTATGGGTCTTAAAGATTAATATTTAAGGTGAAAAATTTGGTAACCAGAAGGAATTTCTCAGTGGTCCTTGTATTGCACCAGGCATTTGCTGACTTCTCATTTGCTTTATAGATATCTATTTTTATGTCTTCAAGTAAATCCATATTGATACAATAATTCTAAATTATTCACACATACCTACTTGTATTTTGTATATATCTCATCAATATATACAAGAACTCTAAATAAAACATGTATAATAATACATACATAATTTAGATATATATACATATATTATTCTTGATATATATATCAGAAATATAAATAAAAGTATGTGTGTGTATATAAATATATAAATATATATATATATATATATATATATATATATATATATATATATATATTTCAGGATAAATTTTATTACTCCCAGTTCTTTGCCTTCCTGTAAAACTTAAGATCACATCTAACATGAGTTCCAATTATTTTATTTAAAAAAAGATAGTGATCTGTTTATTTATCTCTCCCATCAGCAAAGTACAAAGGAATTGACTGAATCATTGTAAGTGTGAGATTTAATTTGGTTATAAAACAGAGATTCTTTATGTATGGAAAGATACCCACTGGGATGTCATTGTAAGTTTTAAAATTGTTTATCTTTAAATCACCCAGAAATAAATTATCTGTACCCTTTCAGATGACACTGAATTTTATTAAATCTCCAGTGTTACTTTAAGTTTAATATATTGATGATTTTATAATATCTATACACTAAACTATAAACTAATTTCCCATTTTAGGAGTTTCTTTTTCTACTTTTCTCAGCCTACTGCCACATCTTACCATTTATCTCCCATTACTTTTAGATATTTCTTCTTTAATTCAAATGCTTTCATTTTGCTAAATAAGAAAATACATTGTGGTGAATGGAGTTTTATTGTATGTTTTTCAGTAAGGTGTTAAAATTCCAATTTTAAAATGAACATGTTTAGACAATTATGTGCTAGATACACAGGCTGATTCCAGAGAGCTTAAGCAAGTTCAATGGCACTTTTTGAAAGTTAAATTGCTCTGTGCATTCCACATTAGAAATCTGTTCCCTAATTTTGTGACCTTAAATATTAAGCATTAGAAAAGTCTACTAGTTATCAACTTATTTCATGTATGCATGATTATAGACAGGTACATATGGATTATATTTTAGGAAATATGTGTCCTTAATTTTATCTGGAAATGAATGTAAGTATTTCTTATTCAAGTCAAATATAATCCTGAAAATTCAGTTAAGAAACATTTGTAGAGTATGGGTTTATATGCTGTTTCTATACATGCCAGAATAGATGTTGCCTTCATTTTTAAGAAGTAATCAGTTCCTGAGAATCCAAGATCAAAACTACTAGAAGAGATCCAACCAAACTTCTGTTCAATCAGTCTAATGATAAAGTGGTTTAGTTGCATAAATGCCTACATTTCTATTTTCAAGAGCCATTCTAGGCACTAGGTATATAGATTGAGCCTTGAAAGTTTAATAACTCCTAGGAGCTTATATTTTAATAAGGTAGAAAAGCATAATCAGTAAGTTAAGAATAATTTTTATGTTGTGGTAAGTGGGGTAAGGAAAATAAGTAGGGTGATACAATAGAAAATTATGCTGGCGGGGAAGGTTTACATTAGACAGTGTAATCAAGAAAGACTTCAGTGAGTAGATAATGTGAATCTGAGGCCTGAAGAAGAAGTATCTAGCCATTTTACAGCAGAGACAAGAGCATTTAAAATGTATGTGACAAAACATGCAAATTGTTAATATGATCAAGGAACAGAGAGGTGGCTGGTCTACCTAAAGCAAAGAAGAAAGAATTTGAAGTTTAGACTGAAGTGTGAGAAGGTGAAACCGATAAAATTGGCATATTAATAATCTCAGGCAATTCCATATTTTTCTGTGTATCTTTTATGCAAGTTCAATTGAATAAAACTTCCAAATCTGCCATTTCAATATAACAAAAATTACCACTTTTGCCTATGTTTGACCTTAAGTAATCTATTGTCCATAGTAAAGTTTCCTGTCCTGTAAGTTCTAATATTATTACATTTCTACCATCTCCAGGTGCTGATAATGTGTCAGGTTCTACCGTGTTTATTATATTATTTAATATTCATAATAAAGCATATAAGGAATCATTCAAGCTCTAGAGTTGAGAAAACTAAGTACTATAGAGGTTAAACCAAACAAATTGTCTGTACGATTCAGTGCCACCTACTCTCTTCACTGTACAAGCACCATTAACATTTAATAGTTCTGCCTTTACACTGTTGGTGGGAATGTAAACCAGTTCAACCATTGTGGAAGACAGTGTGGCTATTTTTCAAAGACCTAGAACCAGAAATACCATTTGATCAAGCAATCCCATTACTGGGTATATATCCAAAGATATATAGATCATTCTATTATAAAGATACATGCACATGTATGTTCATTGCAGCACTATTCACAATAGCAAAGACATGGAATCAACCCAAATGCTGATCGATGATAGACGGATAAAGAAAATGTGGTACATAAGCATCATGGAATATTATGCAGTCATAAAAATGAATGAGATCATGTCTTTCTCTGGGACATGGATGCAGTTGGAAGCCGTTATCCTCAGCAAACTAATGAAGGAAAAGAAAACCAAACACCACATGTTCTCACTTATAAGCAGGAGATGAACAATGGGAACACATGGACATATGAGTGGGGAGGGAGACTGGAGCCTGTCGGGGTATGAGAAGAGGGAGGGAGAGCATTAGGAATAATTGCTAATGGATGCTGGGTTTAATACCTAGGTGATGAGTTGATCTGTGTAGCAAACCATCATGGCACATGTTTATCTATGTAACAAATGTGCACATCCTGCATATGTACCCTGGAACTTACAATAAAAGTTGAAGAAAAAAAGAAAATAAATAAATGAATAAATAAGAACATAAAAAAGTTTAAATATTAAAAAAAAATTGAGAGTTCTTCTCACTTTCTATCTCTCTCTGTCCCAAACCTCTGTATTCCTGGTCTTCATGAGTTGCTAGTGAACATTTGACAGTTCTTTTTATCACTGTCTACTGCCCTCCTCTGTCTCAAACCTTTGAATTCCTGGTCTTTATGAGTTACTAAAGTTACTAGAGAAATATTTTTGTCATCTAAATTTCAAAATTGTAGGGGACTATTGATTCCATCTCAGTAACTAAAAAAACTCAAGCCCAGTGAAGTTTATGTACACACAGGCACACACACACACACACACACACACACACAATCTAGAGAAATTTATATGCATATATTTATATATAAAGTCCCTTTCATATTGTACTATCATTGTCTATCACCTCTAAATTTATTTTCTGTCACTATAACAATTTAAATCTCCCTGTAAAATATAAATCTCACAGTAAGCAATGGACGCAGGTAGACTGGTATGGAGTGCAGAAAATGAATACATCTTCAACAAATGAAATAAATGCCACCTACTCCACAAATTTCACCTAGATGTGGCACTCTAACATTGTTTGGACCTCTCTTAGAACATATGCTTGTGTGTTTGTCTAAAAATCCCACATATTTGACAGGAACAAATCACTTTTATCTGTACCCATAGCAACTCTATAGACATTTAATATGCAGTGTGAAGAAGTATAACAAAGGGGCTAGAAGTGTTGACTTTCTGACCCACGTGCCTGGTTTTACATACTAACTCTAACATATACCAGCTTCGTTGCTTTGAACAAGTTGCTATGGTTTAGTTTCTTTATATGTAAACTAAATCTAACTAGTCAGATTGTTTTGTTGACTCAATAAATTATACTAAAGTGTATGGATATGCAGTTCATTGTATATATCATAATTGTTAAACTAAAAAGCATGTAGGTCAGATTCACTTGAGAGAGTAGGACAATAACTGCCTAGCGTTATTATTATTTATTCTGATTGTCTACTCAGGAAACCCAGGAAAAAGGTACAGAGTATTAAATATGAAAATAGACTGCAACAGATTTTTGGTCTGATTTTAATTAATTTTAAAAATTGCATTGATATGCTCCAGTCTTAAAGCACTAGAATATATAGTTTATAAAATTAAATTATTTAAATAAAATCAAAATTATAAGTGGTACAACGATAAATCTAACAATGGACTTCTATAATATTTATGAAGAAATTTCAGAAAAATATATAGATGACCTAATTAGTAGAATGATAACCACGTTCATGGGTAGGAAGAGTCAGTACGGTAAAATTGTCATTTCTTCCTCGAACTAATCTATGAAACTAGGGCAATTTTAATCAAAATGCGGAGAGAATTTTTCATGAGACTTGAAATGTTGATTCTAGGGAAAAACAGAAGAACAAGAAAACTAATCATGTTTAGAAGAAGCACAAGATTATAGAATTTCCTTACCAAAAAGCTAGACATATTATCAAAGTACAGTAATGAGGAAATGTGGTATTTACACAGGAATAGATAAATATGGCAATGTAACACACCTGAGAACCTACATTTATATTGCAGGCAATTGGAAAAAACTCATATTTTCACAAAATGGTGCTGGAACAATTAATTATCTATTTACAAGGGAGCATCAGAATATTTTTTCCCACACACAAAAGTTCAGTTGCTAGAGCTTAAAGAAGGATTTAAATTAATAAAGTTAGAGCTATGGCCAAAAAGATTAGTTAATGTATTTCTTAAATAACACTAAAAGCAGCACAAACATTTAAAATAAATACATTTTTATATTAAAATATAAAATTCTGTTTATGAAAAGACATCTTGAAAAAGAAAAAAGCCACTTACTAAAAATACATTTGCAAATGTACAGCTAACAAATATTAGTGACCAGAACATAAGTAAACAACTTCTACAAATCAGTATCAAGATATTAACAACTCACTAGAAAAACTGGAAACAGTTAAAAACATGTCATCAACAGAATAGAAAATACAAATGGTAAATAAACATATTCATGGATGTTCAACTTCAGGAGAAATAAGAAATTTCAATAAAAATTATGATGAGATGTAATTTCATCTCCATTAGAAACAGAACAATTTTTAGGGTCTAACTTTGGCAAGGATGTGGAGCAAAAAGAACTTTAATATGCGGCTGGGGAAAGTAAGTAATTATCTGGAATAATTTGAAAAATTTTAGTTTATTTGAAAGTGTACATGCCCTGTGACTAAATTTTACTCAGATCACTTAAAGACTTTTTAGAATGTATATCAAAATACAGGCAAAATTATAATCATAGCAAGAGTATTTGTATTTAAAAAAAGAAAAAAGTACACACTACATTTTTATCAGTGGTGATAAGGAATAGAGTAGCAAAATAAACTAGAATAAAATAAACTAGAATAAAATTCGGATACATATATATTTTAAAAAGGAAATGTATTA
Source organism: Homo sapiens (assembly GCF_000001405.40). NCBI lineage: Eukaryota > Metazoa > Chordata > Mammalia > Primates > Hominidae > Homo > Homo sapiens. The sequence goes on from NC_000013.11 coordinate 89,809,647, forward strand.
GAAAAAGAGTGAAGACAGTATTTTTAAAAGTCTGGTTATATAAATATTTATATAGATAAATTACAGATAGATTCATATACAGATGCAGATGGAAGACAACAAAACAATTGTTAAATATTCATCTTGGGTGGTGCAATAATCAGTAATTGTTTTTATGTTTTTCTTACATATAGTGGTCATATTTTTACAATATCTATCATTCTTATAAAAATATTTGTTATAACATAAATGACATCTAATGGATTTTTCTTTTCTTTTCTTTTTTTTTTTTTTTTTTTTGAGAGGGAGTCTCACTCTGTCACCCAGGCTGGAGTGCAGTGGTGCGATCTCGGCTCACTGCAAGCTCCGCCTCCTGGGTTCACGCCATTCTCTTGCCTCAGCCTCCCAGGTAGCTGGGACTACAGGCGCCCGCCACCACGCCCGGCTAATTTTTTGTATTTTTAGTAGAGACGGGGTTTCACCGTGTTAGTCAGAATGGTCTCAGTCTCGATTTCCAGACCTCGTGATCCGCCCGCCTTGGCCTCCCAAAGTGCTGGAATTACAGGCGTGAGCCATAGTGCCCGGCCGACATCTAATGGATTTTTCTACTGGATATATACCATATATGTATATGCATGTGGGTGTAATAAAATAAAACTTTGGTGAGCACTATTTTTCAGAAATTTTACACGTTATTACTTTTAATATCTACAACTGCTGATCGGATAGAGAGCCTTGCTCTCACTTTGCATATAAGAAAATCGCCCATTGCTTTTTGTAAATAATAAATTGCTGAGCTCCTAATTCTGATTTGCGCTGAATACTGAGAACTGAAACAAATATAATCTTTTCCCCATTGGTAAAAAAAAAAGTGAGAACAAGCAGAAATATCTTAGCTATTACCTCCAAAATAAATATATTTGACCTTGGAGCATAGGTCTGAATCAAATAAAACAGATGCATCATGAAGACTGCCAGCTTGCTCATGCAGGCTCCCTCTACTTTCCGTGTCCACCTGGTCAAAGCTAGCATGTCACAAAAGCAACCTAATACCAGGCCATTGCCTACCTTACAAACACCACTGTAAAATCACACAGTCTAGTTTCTCCCTTACTTTATTAGGTTACATAACTTCCCTTTGATTGATCAACAGATTGTTTCGGTGCTTTTTGGAAGAAGCTCGCAGTTGTCAGTCCAGTATACTATTTTGCATTTTGTTTCTATATGTCTAAGAATAGATAATTTTATACTTTCCTATTATTTTTCCAACTTTCTCTCTTTTTGAGACATTTTGCAAAATATTTTCTCAGTTGTTGGAACAATGGTTTTATTAAATACGTTAATTAAAAATTGTGATTGATTTTTAGATAAAAAATTATTTTCTAGTCTTCATGCATCAGAAAGTTAATCAGTGGTAATGATTATATATGTTCCTAATTTCTCCTTTTCTTGGCTAGATTTACATAGAAAATGTGAGCTAAAAATATTTTTCTTGGTATTCAAAAAGATCATATTTCTGGAGGATGGAAAATAATGCTGAAGAAGTTTTTTTTAATTTAAAAGAGATATGTTCTCTAGATCTCATACGTCTCAGTGTATATTAATCAGTAGTAATGATTATGTATGTTGCTAATTTATTCCTCTCTTGGTTACATTTGACATAGAATATGTGAGCTAAAAATATTATTCATACTATTTAAAAGTGATAGTATTGGTGGAAGAGGAAAGATAATGCTCTTTTTTAATATAAAGGAGACATGTTTTCTAGATCTCATAAGACACTTTGAGACACACACCTTTAATCAATTTGGACCCATGTAATTTGATTCCTTTATTATTTACATACATGGTGCCTGAGTTATGCTCCTCCTTATAGCCTTTAATTGATAACATCTTTCTGATAATTATTGCAGAATGTTACATTTGAGGAAAGGTAAAGGTACAAGCACTGGATACAGAATGCTAAATATCTTTCAACTTGTATCACTTGGTTGTGTCTATGTAAAGTATGTGTTATAGAATAAATATTTATGGTTATTTGAAAGGATAGCAGGAATTGGGACTGAGCATGCTCTTCAATGGCTGATCTTTGGGTTTCTTCTCCTTCACTGATTAACAAAATGTGGTTTTCTAATTTCTAGGAATCTCAATTCTGTCATACTACCCCCTGATGTTACTCTAGTAATCTTATAATTTTACTATGAATGTAATTCCTATTTTCCTTGATTATCAGATAATAAATCTTCCATAGTAATCATTCCTTATCACAAGTTGCACTGGAAACATCTTCCACAAGTCTTCACCTGCAACCAGATTTCCCACTCTCCACTCACCCTGTCAGCCTTTGCCAGTACTCCTTACAACTCTAAGCCCATGTGCTTTTCAGAGAAGCATCCTTCTAAATACATGTTTTTACTCAAATACTCAAGCAAAACCTATTTATTCATTTAAATGTTATCCCCCTTAAGATGAAAAAGTGGTCAACATTTCCTTGCTTCTAAAAGCCATTACAAATTGTTCCATCTTGGCCTTGGAACTTTTACTCATGGCAGAACGTAAAGCAGGAGCAGACACAGCATATGGTGAGATAGGGAGAAAGAAGAGAAAGTGGGGAGGTGCCATACTCTTTTAAGCAACTAGATCTTGCTGAACTACCAGAGCAAAAACTTACTCATCACCAAGAGAATAGCACTAAGCCATTCATGACGGATCTGCCTCCATGATCTAATACCTCCCACTAGGCCCCACTTTCAACATTAGGGATTACATTTCAACATAAGATTCAGAGGAGACACACATTTAAACCATGTCAAAACATTCTTTGGAGATCATGCTCCCTCACTAAACTACCTTCATCATATAGCATTATCATCATGTAGATATCAGGATGTCTTCCATAAATGTAAGAAGGTAATACTGTTACCATTTTTTGATAGTATTTGCCAAATACTAACCAAATCTTTGAAACACTCATTTCAAGATATAAATTCACAAAGTATGTCTCATATTTTTGTCTGAAGACTACCTCTATGATCTCTAGAATAAGGAAATCCATCATATTTTCAAAATGAGAAAACAATTTCCATGTTTAGCAAAGCAAATTTTCAAAAATCCAGTATATTAAAACTAATAGCAGGAATTAAGTGAGATGGAGGATTGCACAAACCTTAGATTAGAAGTCCGTAACTACAAAACACTATGTAAATAACCTGCATGTGAAACGACACTTGCAGAATATCACAGATTGATTTCTGTGAGAATTGATTTCTGCAAGAATAAATTGAATTGATTTAAAGGATAGATTAATACATGGGTAGTGTTGATGGACTTTTCCACAGCATTTGTGTGAGCAATGAAACATTATTATTCTCTGGCCAAATCGTGGAAAACAGGAAGGATTTTAACAAACGGAAATGTAGATGACACATTATTTCTAGAGGATGTAAATGCATGAGGAAGGGAAAGCATAAGCCATGTTTATTTTCACAAAGGTTATAAATAGTGAGTAGATACTACCAATGGAAAGTGGTTTAGATCACATTTTGAAACACTCTGAAGAGGTTTTTTTTAGCTTAATTTAATCAGGGGATTTTGATCAGAGATGTGTTTTAGAGAGATCAATCTTCAAGTGGAACTTTAAAGGGTGAATTAGAGCAGAAAAAACAACTGGTGTTGGCAAGCTAATTGTCAATCAAGCCTTTACAAGAGTCAGAGTGAGAGGTACAGAAAAGCTGATTTGGGATGAGGACAATGGGAAAGAAAACAGGAAAGGAAAGGCACACAAAAACTTACTTAACAACTGTCTGGAAAATAGAAGTTAGAAGAGAGAAGGCATGGTTTTATTTTTAATCATAAAATAGAAACTGATTAAATCAAGCTTTTCATTTTTAGGTCATACGTATGACATTCATTTTGATAAGTTGCTATTTAGATGACAGTGTGCTCATTTATTTAAAAATATTCTTATATTGAAAATATAGCTTGAGAGCTACCAGATCTAAATGCAGTATAGTAATGAACAACTCGTATACAAGACAATGTCTGGTCAAAGTAAAACCCAGGCTGTCCAGGTCAAAAACAATTCATAAACATACTCCATTTCCTAAAATTTTTCCATTTTTCTCTCTTGTCAACTTTGGGCTTTATTTCCGTTTTTTTTTTTTTTTTTTTTTTTCATCCTGTAGTCTGCTCCTGAACAGCTATAATAATTCAGTGGTTTTGAACATCAGTACTTTTCCTTGGTAATGGCTTTAAATACAGCTTTTATTTAATGAATTTAATTAGCTTGTAGCCTCTTTGGGCAACAACTTTACCTAAATTTACCCAGAGATTCCAGCACCAGAACCAAACTTCAGCCAGAATGTCTAATTCTGCTCACCTCTTTTCCCTATGACTTTATCCCTATCCCCATAAAACTCTACAAACAGAGTGTCGGGCACCAGACAGGAGATAAAGAGAGTAGCCAGGGCTAAAATATGAATATATTGAAATTTCTTCCACAGAAGGAATAATTGACATTTTGAGTCATAGGCCACCATTTCTGGTTGAATTTCGTCTCTTGAAAAAAAAATATGTCAAACTTCTAATTCTATCACCTGTAAATGTGATCTTATTTGGAAATAGGGTCTTTGCAGAGATCATTAAGATAAAGTCATACTTTTTTTAGGGTGGGCCCCAATCCGATGATTGCTATCTTTGTAAAGAGAGGGAAATTTAGACACAGACACACAGGTGAGGCTATGTGAAGATGGAGGCAGAAATTAGAATGATGTATCTATAAGGAAAGGAATGACATAGTTTGTTGGCAATCACCAGAACCTAGAAAGAGGTAAGGAAAGATTCTTCCTCTTGTGCCTTCAAAGAGAGCATAGCCCTGTTGACAACTTGATTTTAGACTTCTAGACTCCAAAACTGAGAGAATAAGTGTATTAAGTCACTAGTTTGTGCTATTTTGTTTCAGCATCTGTTAGAAACTAATACAGCTGTAGTGGCATTTCTAGTATTTCAAACCTTTCCATATATTTGTGATATATTTTCCTGAAGAATCTTGTAAGATCATTGTAAGAACATGTGCAGTTCTTTTGACATCCTCCATCTTGTTATGATGTCTCATTTAATGAAATATGTGTTTTCATTGATTAATTTATTGTAACTTCTAGCCACATACACTGCTTTCAAAATTGGGTGTTGTAGTTTTAATATCTTAGGGAATTACCACCAGAGTCAAGAGATGATATGCATGATCTAAGTAGCATATTTATGACTGCTATCATAATCACATATTGTGAATGATAAAGTCACCTTGCAATGGCTCTATCTCCCCTCCCTAGACTTTGCAATGTAAAGTAGAAGGGTAACATAGCTTTCAATTTCTGAAAAAAGTGACAGAGAGATGATAGTTATAGATAGATCATAAGGTGATTGCTTCTGTAGAATAACATCACAAGTTCTTTTTTTGGCAGAGGTATAAGTAAAAGATGGGGGAGTGGGTTCAGTGATATATTTATGTTAGAAATAGTAAAAAAAAATTAAAAGATGCTGAGAAACTTCCTACACAATAAAATCAAAACAAATAAACATCTTTATTTTATTTGGAATACAAAGAAAAAAGACTGATTTTCTGATAATGACTATATGTGTACTAGCTTCAGAAGTGGGTTCTTTTATTCAAATAATTAAGAACATGGTGAATAAGGTAAAGTGCTAATACTAAGGATGAAAGAAAAAAATCAAGCATAGGCCTTGATTTGATGGGGCTCTCAAGTCGAACTTGTTTCCAGGAAAGAGATTGGTAGTAGGAAATGCATAATCCTGAAAAAAAGTCTCAAAATCAGAAGTGTTTCTAAGGTTGAGAAAATAAATTGCTAATTTGATTTATGTCTTTCCTAAAAATGGAATCCACTCTCCTGCCATTATGACGTTTATATTGTATCACTATTTGGAAAGAATATAGCATCATTTTAACTAAATATTATATTTGCAAATTCAGACCCAAGTCTAAAATTATATTTTAAATATATTCATTTAAGGACAGATTATTTAGTGACTATCTATAGAGTATTTTTTGTGCTTAAGACACATTCTTAAGTGATTAGAATATAAAAAGAAACAAAATAGATTAAAAGACACTTGTCAATAGATAACAAAAATACATGTAATAACTAAATATATGGCACTGAAATCTTAAGAAGGTTTTACATCCTATGTGAAAATATAGAGCAGAGTAATGGAGATTTTAATAATTAGGGTGATATCAGGTTTTAAATAAGATGGCAACGTAGTCTTCATTAAGAAAATGACAGTTGAACAAAGTCTCTCTGAGGCACTTGGCAAGATCTAAATGAAGTAAAAGAAGCTGAGCTTACTTTATTTTTAAAATCCTAAGTAAGGAACAAAGGTTTAGGGCCCTTTGGCTGCCAACCATGAGGATATGAGCATGTATTTTGATGAAGGCACTGCATCTGTCTCTGAGGATCCCATTTAGACTAAAGAATTAAAACATTAGGCACAGTTTGTACTAGAAAAACAGTGAATGTATTACTTCAAAAGTGATCACATTCCCTTTGAGGTGTGTGAATACAGAATTTAATTAAAAGTATCACAATTAGATAATCAGTAGTCTGCCACTGAAGTTATTACCATGCAGAAGACACAGGCATTACCCTTTGGAAGACATTTTCTCACTGCACTGCTTAATTTCACATTATTTTTCCCCTCAAACTTGCATATTCTAGGAAATAGACTAAATAATAAAACTGAAGCAGAATTGTACTACTGAATGTGCTAAATACCTAACAAAAACCAATCCTTTAATGTATAATAAAAAACAAGTAGCAGATAAAAAATATAAAGATCACTTTTTGTAATTATCTTTCATTTTTTTAAAAAAAAAAGCATTCTAAAAATTTTAATTCCCAAGACAATTAGGTGTTAGTGATAAATATAGTATTATGTCACACAATTGGCCTAACAAGTGAACAGCTCAGTAGATTATGAGATATATAATATATATATATCAAAATCTGTAATATATATATATGTAATGGAGCTATATATTATATATTATGTATTATATATATAATGGAGATATCTCCATAATATACATATATAAACACATATATATAAATAAGGTAACACAAAACAGAAACACTGCATAAAATATCTAAAAGAAAAAAATAGTAAACACCTCTGAACAAATTAATCATTTTATATGTGTATAATGAACTTAATGCAAACAACTTTACAATGCAATTCCAGGTGTGATAGCTATGCCTGTAATCCTAGCACTCTGGAAGACTGAAGTGGGATGATCACATGCGGTCAGGATTTTGAGACCAGCCTGAGCAGTATAGTGAGACCCCAATCTCCACAAAAACAACAACACAAATTTGCCAGGCATGGTGGTAGTCTGTAGTCCCAGCTGATATGGTTTGGCTGTGTCCCCACCCAAATCTCATCTTGAATTGTAATTCCCACATGTTGTGGGAGGAACCTAGCGGGAGGTGATTGAATTATGGGGGTGGGTCTTTCCTGTGCTGTTCTTGTGATAGTGAATGAGTCTCATGAGATCTGATAGTTTTAAAAATGGGAGTTTTCCTGAAAAAGTTCTCTCTTTTTGCCTGCAGCCATCCATGTAAGATGTGACTTGCTCCTCCTTCCCTTCCACCGTGATTGTGAGGCCTCCCTAGCCATGTGGAACTGTAAGTCCATTAAATCTCTTTCTTTTGTAAACTGCCCAGTCTTAGATATGTCTTTATCAGCAGCGTGAAAACAGGGTAATATAGTAAATTGGTAACAGTAGAATGGGATGCTGCTGAAAAGGTATCTGAAAATGTGGAGGTGACTTTGGAAATGGGTAACAGGCTGAGGTTGAAACAGTTTGGAGGGCTCAGAAAAAGACAGGAAAATGTGGGAAAGTGTGGAACTCCCTAGAGACTTGCAGAATGGCTTTGATCAAAACACAGAATATGATATGGACAATGAAACCCAGGCTGAGGCGGTCTCAGATGTAGATGAGAAACTTGTTGGGAACCAGAGCAAAGGTGACTCTTGTTATGTTTTAGCAAAGCGACTGATGGCATTTTGCCCCTGCCCTAGAGATTTATGGAACTTTGAATTTGAGAGAGATGATTTAGAGTATATGGCGGAAGAAATTTCTAAGAAGCAAAGCAATCAAGAAGTGACTTGGGTGCTGTTAAATGCATTCAGTTTTATAAGGGAAGCAGAGCATACAAGTTTTGGAAAATTTGCAGCCTGACAATGCAATAGAAAAGGAAATCCCATTTTCTGAGGAGAAATACAAGCTGGCTGCAGAAATTTGCATAAGTAATGAGGAGCCCATGTTAATCCCCAAGACAATAAGGAAAATGTCTTCTGAGCATGACACACCTTTGCAGCAGCCCCTGGCATCACAGCCTCAGAAGTTTAGGAGGAAAAAGTGTTTTTTTGGGTCAGGCCTGGGGTCCCTCTGCTGTGTGCAGTCTAGGGACTTGGTGCCCTGCATCCTAGCTGCTCCAGCCATGACTGAAAAGGACCAAGGTGCAGCTCAGACTGTTGCTTCAGAGGGTGAAAGCCTTGGTGTTGAGCCTTCAGGTAGACAGAAGTCAAGAATGAACCTCCACCCAGATTTCAGAAGATGTATGGAAAATGCTTGGATGCCCAGGCAGAAGTTTACTGCAGGGGTGGTGTCCTCATGGAGAACCCGTGCTAGGGCAGTGCAGATGGGAAATGTGGGGTCGGAGCCCCCAAAGTGTCTCTACTGAGGCACTGCCTAGTGGAGCTCTTAGAAGAGGGCTGCTGTCCAGGTGCCTGTAGTCCCAGCTACTTGGGAGGCTGAGGCAGGAGAATGGCATGAACCCAGGAGATGGAGCCTGAAGTGAGCTGAGATCATGCCACTGCACTCCAGCCTGGGTGACAGAGCAAGACTCCATCTCAAAAAAATAAAAAAGAGGGCCACTGTCCTCCAGACCCCAGATTGGTAGATCCACTGTCGGCTTGCACTATGTGCCTGGAAAAGCCACAGACACTCAACACCAGCCCATGAAAGTAGCTGGGAAGGATGTTGTAACCTGCAAAGCCACAGGGGCAGAGTTGCCCAAGACCATGGAAATTCACCCTTGCATCACTGTTACCCTGATGTGAGACATAGAGTCAGAAAAGATCATTTTGGAGCTTTAAGATTGTACTACCCCATTGGATTTCAGACTTCCTTGGGGCCTGTAGCCCCTTTGTTTTGCCCAATTTCTCCCATTTGGAATGGCTGTGTTTACCCAATGCCTGTACCCCCATTATATCTAGAAAGTAACTAACTTGCTTTTGATTTTACAGGTTCATAGGTGGAAGGGACTTCCCTTGTTTCAGATGAGATTTTGGACTGTGGACTTTTGAGTTAATGCCAAAATGAGTTAAAATTTTGGGGGACTGTTGAGAAGGCACAATTGATTATGAAATGTAAGGACATGAGATTTGGGAGGGGCAGGGACAGAATGATATGGTTTGGCTCTGTCCCCACCAAATCTCATCTTGAATTGTAACTCCCACAATTCCCACATGAGGAATCCAGTGGGAGGTGACTGAATTTTGGGGGATGGGTCTTTCCTGCACTGTTCTCATGATAGTGAATGAGTCTCATAAGATCTGATGGTTTTTAAAATGAGAGTTTTCCTACACAAGCTCTCTTTCTCTGCCTGCTACCATCCATGTAAGACATGACTTGCTCCCCCTTGCCTTCTATCATGATTGTGAGGCCTCCTCAGCCATGTGGAACTGTAAGTCTATTAAACCTCTTTCTTTTGTAAATTGCCCAGTCTTGGATATATCTTTATCAGCAGCATGAAAATGGACTAATACACCAGCTAATTAGCAGATTAAGGCAGAAGGATTGCTTGAGCTCAGAAGTTTGAAGCTGCAGTGAACTATGATTACACCACTGCACTCCAGCCTGGGTGACAGTGGAACCCCCATCTCAAAAAGTAATACAACCTGCCTCGGCCTCCCAAAGTGCAGGGATTACAGGTGTTGACCAACATGATGAAAACCTGTCTCTTCTAAAAATACAAAAAATTAGCCGGGCGTGGTGGCAGGCACCTGTAATCCCAGCTACTCATGAGGCCTGAGGCAGGATAATCACCTGAACCCGGGAGGTGGAGGTTGCAGTGAGCTGAGATCGTGCCACTGCACTCCAGCCTGGGCAACAAAAGCAAAACTCTGCCTCAAAAAAAAAAAAAAAAAAAGCAATACAAAAATGAAACAAAAATAAAAATAAAATAAAATGCAGTTTAGTTGGTTTACTTTGTTTCTTCACCCCTTTATCTCCTTAAAGGTTGTTCTCATTAAAGTGTTATATTAATTACCCCTTATTTCACTGAGTAATTGTCATATTGAGGGCTTAAGCAATCAAGGCAATTCTTTTTATATTTTTTTTTTTACCAAGAACAAAATCTACTATCAAAGCATGCACATTTTTATGAACTGTGGGTCCACATTCAGTTTTAGAGAATCACATGGTCACAGGTCTGAATAATAAAGGAACATAAATGTAAAGAACCTATTTCTATTTGAATATTAACTTTCTTTTTTATTGGAAATATTGACATAATCACTGATTTTAGTAAATTATTTGTACAATGCAAATTTCATTTTGGAAAAGTCTATAAAGGTCATCTGGTTCTCTTTCATTTGTAAAATTTGACCTGGACTTTAGGAATATTCTGATAGTGTAGGTGGTGTTCTAATTAAATAGCTGCTCTGACACTCTCAAGTTGTTATAGGATTCAATATATGAAAACATTTTGGGTATTTCAGTAAATATTTTGCTCTCTTTCTTCTACTACACACTTATAATATAATGCATTTTGTTTGTTTGTTTGTTTGACGGAGTCTCACTTTGTTGTCCAGGCTGGAGTGTAGTGTCTGTTCTCCGCTCACTGCAACCTCTGCCTCCCAGGTTTAAATGATTCTCCTGCCTTGAGAAGCTACGTGTGAGTAGCTGGGACTACAGGCACGTGCCACCACACCCGGCTAATTTTTTGTATTTTTGGTAGAGAGGGGATTTCACCGTGCTAGCCATGATGGTCTCGATCTCATGACCTCGTGGTCCACTTGCCTCGGTTTCCCAAAGTGCTGGGATTATAGGAGTGAGCCACCGTGCCGGCCGCAAGATTTTCAAAACGGATAATTTTCTTCTTTTACACAACTTTATTTTTACACTTTGATCATCCTCTGCTTCCTTAAAGCATGTTCTATGGCAAAACACAGTATTATTTTTAAATATCAGATTATTTTCTTCTTTCAAATTGAAATTTGTGTATCTATGTGTCCACAAGTGCATGTGTTTGCAGATCTTTCTCTCTTATATTGATAAACATAAGGCATTGCATATATTTATCACAATTTATTTGTTTATATCTTATAAAACAAAGTGATAAGAAAAATAGCTTAGATGATGCCAACTTCTCCACTGAGAAAGTAAAGTCTAACATCATCAAAATACGTAAAAACTGGCCATACACGGTGACTCACGCCTGTAGTCTCAACACTTTGGGAGGCTGAGGCACACAGATCAATCGAAGTCAGGAGTTTGAGACCAACCTGGCCAACATGGTAAAATCCTGTCCCTACTAAAAAATACAAAAATTAGCCAGCATGATGCTGCTTGCCTATAGTCCCAGCTACTTGGCAGGCAGAGGTTGCAGTGATCCAAGATCACTTAGGAGATCAATATAATTTTGAAAATAATTCATATTAGGAAACATGAGATATATGGAGAATAGATGCTAACATTCTGAGAAAAACATTTAAAATTCAATTTTAATGTAGTAAAAGATGCAATTGGTTGATTAAATATATACTTGACAAGCAAGTGTATAGTGGGCTTTTTTCCCCGAAAACAAAAATATTCATTATAACAAAAAAGTCCACAATATAGTGATGTGTGGCTTGTCAGTCAGATCCTCATTTTATTAGCTTGCCTTAATAACGATCTCAATGAGGATAATGAACTTTCTTCAGACCTTCAACTATGTGTCTTAATATTTTCTAGATAATGTATATTATCTGGAGAACAGTTTTCCAAAATATGTTATCGGAATATATCACAACCTTAGGACTTCATGAATTACATAAAACACAATTTTTCAGGTATTTGAGGGTTTGAAATTTGTTCTGATGGGTATTTTTCATTTTCATTTTATTCTTATGAGAGGAAATACAAATAATGATGCCATTTAAAAATATTATTAAAGCAGTGGTACAATCAGATTATTAAATTAGCTTCCGCAATCAGACAGAAATATATTGAAAGCTGCCTTCATTTATTTTCTCTGCTAGTTTGAGCTTCAGTTTCCTTATATCTAAAATTTATAATAATAATAACAATAATAGTATCTAATTCATAAGGATGTTTTGAGGATTTGATGAAGTAATAAAAGTAATCTCAGTAACTGTTTCACAGGACTAAATAATTTTGAATGAATAGGTTTTTCATTTACATTATTGATAAGGATTGCGTAAATGTTATCTCTCTAATTATTCATTTATTTATCATATTGGAGACCAACTGGGCTAGTTGAATATATAGATACTAATGGAAGGGTAGTAGTTCTTTTCTATATAATAGCCTAATAAAGAATTTTTTAAATGTCATCTGGAATGGAGGCTAATAACCATGAAAGGTGTCTGGTAATTCTATTGATGAGGTCTTTCCATTAGGCTCTTGCAAAGAGGAAAATGTGAGGCTCTTTATGCAGGATAGAGAAACTTGTGCTTTCACTCCCCCCCTTACAATATGGAATGAGATGGTGGATATTTTAGTGGGAGGACTGTAAATAAAATGATGCCTAAGTTATACAACACTTTCACAGAACATGTTTGTCACTGGCTTGTTCTTTAAGTTACTTCAGACCGTTCATTTTTTACCCCCAAACTGAACAGTTTCAGTCTTTCTCTTCCTTTCTCACTCACTCTCTCTCTGAATGCTTTCTATGAGTGCTTTGTGTCTGATGTTTTAGGTGCAGTTCATTTTTTTGTAGTGAATAGTGTTCTTGTGTATTCATGACAGAGCCTCACGTATTTACGACTGTTTTTCTTTCCTCAATCTCTGACCAAGAAGAGAACGAGACCTGATGAATGTCAAGTGACTAGGAGATATAAATACCAAGTTGGTCTGAGTGACACAAGAGAGGTGAATTATTGAACATAAATGGATCATGTCAACAAAGAATTGTGACTGGAATTTGTAATGGTTTATACTTTTTCCTTTTTAGTAATCACAAATGGCAAAAATACAGATACTGTATTTAAATCTTTAAAGCAGAACAATAAATAATTACTAACCAAATAAAATACACATCTTAGTAGCATATTCTGAATAATTAAAAGGAAATCTGTCAGGTAAAATATATGTCTTGCTTACTTTTAATTTTATATAAATATTTAAACATTGGCTTTTGGACTCACAAGATATTTAAGCCCTATACGTAAACAATTCATTATTGATAAAATTAAAGGGCATATATGTTTGTTCATATAAACATCCTTATTATTCTAGTAAAAATTGTTTAGGTTCTTGTTAGTTTATGTACATAGTAATAACTATATAGTATAGGAATGTATATGCACACACACACCATATATATAATAAAAAGAAATATACTCTGTATATAGTATGTGTGTGTATATGTATATAGTATGTGTGTTTGTGTATATATATATATATATATAGAAACAAGAACCTAAACAATTTTACATTTTAAACAGTTTTGCTTATATATATGATTACAACAATAAAAAAATTAACAACCTGTGAAATGCATTATAGTTATATTTATTTTAAATACATCTTTATTTACATGTTGTTTACTCATTAAGATCAATATGTTCTCATTCATTGATTCAACAAAGAGCACATGTACTTAGTTGGTTAATGTGAAATTTTTAAAGTTCGGTTTGTAATTACCTAATGTTACAGAATGAAGAAATAAAAGCTAACAGCCTACTTCTAGAAAATTTTCTACATAAGTTATGTCTCCTTTCTTAATGAGAGAATGAGGGAGAGAAAAACCGTTTAAAGGTTGGTATTTTTGAGTAAATCAGAAATAAGAATGCTAACTGCACTGGTCATCAAGAGTTGTTAGTACTTAAAAAAATGCATTAGTTACTACTAACCTAGTAGTTAGTTGCCCAAAGAAAATAAAACAAATTGAATGATAATAGTTACGTGTCAATTCTGTAAGTGTTTTCTTGAAAGAGAAAAGAGCACCAGCTCCTTCTTCTGAAGTAATAGCCTTTAGATAACAAGATTAGCATAATTTGGAAAAATTCATGGCCCTTATGGACAAAAGCCAGGAGGAGGAGTATCATAAATACCTGAGGCTTCATCACAAAATAGGATTGCAATAGTTGTCTTATGTTTATCCTGTTCCAAAATTATTGGAAACTCATTCTCTAATTATACTTTGAACTGGAGGTGGGGACATCAATGGCTTAAAATAGTCAATAAATTATACTGGGAACAATTAATATCCACATTCATCATTCAACCTCCATCCCCAGCATTAATTTGACCTAGTTGTGTGAAATGAAGCCAAAAAGAATAACAGAGTTAGCACCACTGATTTACCACTTCCTTCTTGGTTGTTATTTCATAAGCAATCTTTTTACCATGCACCTTCTTCTTCCCTTACTTCCCCACCCCCATACAGAAACATATTTCTTGGAGCATGCTACTGCTGTTCAACTTGATTTAGATAATTTGGTTTTCTAAATAAAAGTTATTTATGTGATTAGTCAAACACTGTGCAAATGGCATATATACAAAGGTACTAAAGTAGACATGGCCCATTTATAAAATAGTAGGGAGATCATAGTACTCAAGTCAAATTTTCCCATGGACTCAACTGAGGAATTAGAAGCCTAAAAATAGCTGCATACAGATTAATGATATTCTATGAAATTGCTTTAATAATTCAATTCACTATTCGAAGTGGCCTACATAAGATCTTATGTTTCAGAGCATCTCTGTCCAATAGAATTTTTTGTATTGATGGAAGTGTTACATAATCTGTGATGTCCAATGTAGTAGTTACTAGCCATATTAACATACTGGGCACTTGAAACATGGCTTGTGTGACTGAACACTTGAATTTTAAACTGTATTTTCTATTAATTAATTTTAAATTAATTTTAAATATACATAGATAGCTTTTGGCTATTATATGTAAATATTCATTGGGGTGATAATGTATGTATTACATATAGTGTACGTAATACATTCTAAATATATAAAATATCATTTACATTATATAATAGAAAATATAGATAGAACATATATACACAAATAGAACTTTAGGCTTACAAAAAGTCTGCTAACACTAACACTTAACTATACAACAATTTTTTAAACAAAGAAATTAACATTTATATCATATGATTAATTAAGCTACAGATGGCCTTCCACATCCTTGGACTGGAACAAACATATATGAAAAATATTCAGAAAACAAAACCAAAAAATAGCAATACAACCATAAAAAATACAACACAATATAACACAATATAACAACTATTTATATAGCATATACAACACAATATAACAACTATTTATATAGCATATGCATTGTATTAGATGTTATATGTAATCTAGATATGATTTAAAATATAGAGGAGGATGTGCCTATATTACATGCCAGTAGTATGCCACTTTACATAAGGGACTTGAGCACGTGGTCATTGTGGTATCTGCAGAGGTCCTGGAAACAATCCCTCATGGATACAGAGGAAAGACTTTATAGTCTTTTTTCACGGTTACCAGGTTTTTTCACTCATGCCCTTTTGTTTTTCTTCTGGAATCCAAAGCAGGCTTCTGTGTTACATTTAGCTTTAATTTCTCCTTAGTCTCTTCTAATCAGCGTCGGTCCTTAGTTATTCTTTGTATTTAATGACTGACACTTCTGAAAAATAATTGTTAGTTTCTGTTATTGTTGTCATTTTGGTGGACTGCCCTTCCTATTGGGATATTCTCCCGTAATTAGACTGAGATTGTGCCCTTTAGGCAAGATCATCATAGAAGTGATGGTCTTAGTATATCACATCAGGTGATACAAGGTGTTGGTATTTATTATTATTGTTATCTTGTTCAATTGGTTGAGGGAATAATACAAGGTTTTGTTGTTGTTGTTGTTGTTGTTGTTGTTGTTATTTTGTGTTTTTTTTTTTTGAGATGAGTCTTGCTCTGTTGCCAGGCTGGAGTGCAGTGGCATGATCTTAGCTCACTGCAACCTCTGCCTCCTGAGTTCAAGCGATTCCCCTACCTCAGCCTCCTGAATAGCTGGGATTACAGACACATGCCACCACACCCAACTAATTTTTTGTATTTTTTAGTAGAGATGGGGTTTCACCATTTTGGCCAGGATGGTATCGATCTCCTGACCTCGTGATCTGCCTGCCTCGGCCTCCTAAAGTGCCAGGATTACAGGCGTGAGCCACAGTGCCTGACCAAGATTTCTTCACAATAGAGGTATTATGTTTTTCCTTTGTAATTAATAAATACTTTAGGAGAGGTAATTTGAATATATGCCAGTATCATATTTTTTCTCATATGTATGCTCAATAATTTTATCACTTATAGGCCAGGGAGTGTGGCTCATGCCTGTGGTTCCAGCACTTTGGGAGGCTGAGGGGGGTGGATCATGGGGTCAGGAGATCGAGATCATCCTGGGCAATATGGTGAAACCCCGTCTCTACTGAAAATACAATAATTGGCTGGGCATGGTGGCTCGCACCTGTAGTCCCAGCTACTAGGGAGGCTGAGGCTGGAGAATCGCTTGAACTCAGGAGGCAGAGGTTGCAGTGAGCTGAGATTGTGCCACCGCACTCTAGCCTGGCAACAGAGCAAGACTCTGTCAAAAAAAAAAAAAATTACCACTTATTTATTTAAATAATCAGAATAAATGCATAGACATTTATTTCATTCTATATATTATAAATACATATTTATCTTATTATTCAAATTATTTCTTTCTCGGCCTTTGGGAATTACATAAACGTAATAACAAATGGTTGGTTGTACAGTCATATGATTGAATAATATGTATTAAACTCAACTTTTAAACTTTTTAATGTTTAATAATATTGAACACATGTAATAACTATTTAACAATACAGAAAATTTAAATAAAATATGTTACATTTCCAAAAATATTCAAATATTGCTGAAGTTAAAAAATCCATTGGGATTTTGAAGGTATCATGTAAGAATATTCTATTATTTTACATTATGGAAAATTAATCCCAGAATAAACTAGTTAATGGGGAAGAATGTACAACTGCAGAATCAGGAAAACAAGTTCAAGATGAGTCTGTTTTGATAATACATGATAATAATTCAGTCTCTTCCTTTTTTCCCACTTCTTCCTGCTGTTTCTTTCTTCCCTGTTTTATCTATTTTCTAAGTATACATATACACACATATATAAATGCATATACATAGTTAATACCTTAATTATCTCCAAAATCGTATTTTATTTACCATTAAAGGGGACACCCTAATATTCTTTAAATACTTTTGTCCTTACTGCATTATTTATCTAAATGGTATGTTATGATCTTTTCAGTAGTAACTCATAATAATTTGCTCTCATTTAGTTTGCAGGAAACTTTAAAACCTAAGTAATATTTTTACTATATTGCAAGAGCCAAGAATTCCTTATTATGTTAACTGTACATTTTTTATTCTAATGGCTTTAAAATATTTAAGGAAAAGTAAGCTTACAATTATTTAAAGTCCTGATCAAAATACAAATATAGTTTCCTTAAGAATTTTTTAGTTTTACTTTGCAGAAAGTCTTTTGCTGAGTCTTTAGAAGTTCAAATTTAGATAACGTATTACAAAACCATATGTTGCCATGTTTGAACAATACATACTAATGCAGTTTACTTGTATTTCTAACAAAATAAAATATTACTCACAAAAGAGTTCAGGTTTCAGTTTCATTGTCTACATAAACAAACTTGGAATATTAATGTTGCTACCGAGTAATACATGGGCTTGCTGCCTGGTGCACATAGAGGCCAATCTCATGGCACTGGCTTTTGAAAAAAAGAAAAGCTTTATTGTGAGTGTCAACTGGCAAGGAGACAAGATAAAATGCTAAAATCTGTCTCCTCGGCTGGGATTTGGGTTGGGTTTTCTAAGCATAGGGCACCGAGGTATAATCTGATTGGATCTTACAATAAGGTGATGCCAGGAGCCATGACCTGATTGGATTCTGCCATGGGGTGACTCTAAAGCTTGATCTGATCGGATCTTGGATCCTGCTAAATGCTGTTAGCTTCTTAATTCTGTCTCTGCTCCTTTGTCCCAAAACTTAGGTCCTCCCCTGTGATTGCACAGTTGCTTCATCTGGGCATACTCAGCTTAGATGACCTTCAATCTGGGGGTCCATGACAACTAAAAAACAATTCACAACTTTGTTACATAAAAGTTGAATAAGATTGGTCTGATGTAGATAACAGTGTGCTCACAGTGACAGTAGGTCAAGGAGAAGGTGAGAAGCACAGAAATTGTGTAAATAGAAAATTCTGAAATACAGCCTGAGGAAAAATGTATAAGCAAGGGTCTTTCCGTGAAATAATTTGTCTTCCTAAACGCACACATCTGAATATCATCGGGAAAAGTAATTATTATAATCCTGTTCTTTTCTATATTTAAAAAGCACGACACCGTTTAACTGCTCCTTTAGAATGAATCAAAATTTCAGAATTTCCAATGAGGTTTAAAAGTATTGCTTTTATACCTTGGAACAAATAGAAACCTTAGCAAGGAACATAATATTAAGTATTTTATTTTGCTTAAATTTCTACTACTTAAACCATTTGGAAGTAAATGTATACTCACTAAAACTTTTGCAATGACTATTTCTGAGAATATAACAACAGGAACCACACAAATTGGATTCACTTCGTGTCTTTTTATGCTTTTGCTTAATGAAATAAAAAGGAACCTCTGCTTTATTTATTACAGCTAATACATTTTAAAAGTTACAATCTTCAAATTTGAATGGGATGTTAAATGGTTATGGCGCAAACATGAAGTCAAGAGTTTTGCAATGAAGTGCTATATTGCAGCAACATCCTGCAATATTTTTGCAGGATTAAATAAAAATTGCATTCAGTGGTACAAAAGGCACAAGAACAAATCAAAAGAAATCAGAAAACACTTTGAAATTATTATTGCAATATTGCAAACACTTTGAAATTATACATTTATATAAATGTATACCGTATACATTTTTAAAATGTTGGCATCATTGGAAACTAGCTATAATGTTGTTCTTAGTATGCTATTTTAAGTTAGGTATGAGGAACTCAAGCAATTGACTAATGATTTAACTTATTCTTTTTATAAGCAGCAAGCACAGTATTAGGTAGTGTGAGCATAAAAATGATTGTCAGCTTTTTTTTCCCTGACAGAATGTTTAAAATTATTAAGAAGAAGACAGAAGAATGACTAGAAAAATATAATATGCTGTGCATATTATCACACGTATGAGGTGTAGGTAAGCATAAGTTTATTGAGATTTAACAGATGGAACAGTTGACCACCATTAAAAACAGATAAAATTACTACAGTGGAAGAGGCTAGCCCAAATGTAAAAGGAAAGAGACCATTTGGCTAGGTTCAGAAAATAAATTCTATATTAATATTTGAACATATTTGACTCTATCTAGCTAAACTACAGCATTGGTCAAAAAAAGGGGGGAGGCTATAAAAATAATCTAGTTAATTTCCAAGTTAACAAACTTTGGAAAATTACATACACTTCCTGGTAATTTGGTGTGTGACCAGAAGTTTCTATCATAGTATATTTCAATTGCCATTTAGATATTCAAGAAGAGAGGAAAAATAACTGCAATAATGTTTAAACAGGATTGAGAGTTAACCTCATGCTGACTTGCAATGGATACCAGTGAAACAGAAATAGGTAAGCCAGCTCTTTGACGTAGTATAAAAATGAATGAGGCACTTTTCAACACTAACTATTAACTACGAACCTGAATGTAGACCCTTTAAGCAACAAATATTATCTTCTCATTTCAAAAATAAAATCTTGTACCAAGTTCAAAATGGTTCAGATTTCTTTCTATTGCACAGTGAGTGCTCTTTGGAAAAAACAGAATGTTTCTTTTCATTTCACTGCTTATCTCATCCCAAACCACTTTTTTTTCTAAATTTGCAACTATCAGCAAACATACTGGTAAGACATGGTGCCACATTGCTTCCCATAAAATATACTTCGTATGCAGAACTGAATGTAAGGCAAAAAATCGGTAGAGATCAGAAAGAAATACAAATCGATGTCTACCATCTGATAATAGGGTCAAATAGCGAAACATTGAGGAAAAATAATATTTTCATCACAATTTATCAGAGAACCAAAACATTAAAATTTTGATGTTGGGCCAAGAGTTTTTCATTTAACGCACATATCCAGGATGAACTAAAGTATTTAAGTCTCATCAAATTGGAAGAGAGAGGGGCCCAAAATAATCTTTATCAAGTTTCCACTAAAACATAGGGTTTGGAATAATTTGTTCTTATCTGAACATGAATAAACTCGATAACAATGAGGGAAATAAATGAAACTGTATGAAAATCTCTTTGTTGCCAGAGTTATTTAATACAACAATTAGACAATAATTTTAGAACTCTATTAGGCATCTTTGATAATTTGCAAGATTCCATGGCTTTTGAGAAAGAGAACTAACATTTTATTTTTGAGACAGGGTCTTGCTCTATCACCCAGGCTGGAGTACACTGCATAGCTCACTGCAGCCTAGAACTCCTGGGTGCAAGTGAGCCTCCTGCCTCAGCCTTCAAGTTGCTGGAACTACACGTGCGCACCACCACACCTGGCTAAGAATTAACCATTTAAAGAGAATATACAGTAAGGTAAGGAGCCAAGATAAGTGAAAATTGGAAATGGTAAACAGAAAGCACCAATTACCTAAAAAGTCCAACAGCAAAATTTAAAAAACATGATATAAGTTGTAAAATTAATACTGATAGATAAAATATGAATCAGGAACATGCAGAAGAGATCTCTCTAAATGCAAGTAGAAAATCTTTTTGAAAAGAAGGAGGGATGAGGTGATATATACGTAAAAAAGCAGAACTCTAACATAAGAACGCAGGCACTTTGGAAAAATGAGTAAGTGTAATCACAATGAAAGCTATAAACCAAATATTTCCAAGATGATTAAGGAGCCACGTTTTAAAGAAGCAATTATTACTATATTTCCCCGAAAAAAGCAATTGAGATCTTTAGAGGGCCTGGAAATATATCACATATACATTTTTACATAGTTGGATAAAATATCATAATATGTCAAGTAAAATTTTTTTTTTATCAAATAACAAGTACTGGATTGCTGATTTCTCAACAATATTTATATAAGAATGTCGGGAATATTTATATAAGAATGTTATCAGATCTTTAAATAACAAAGTTTATGACACACGAAATTAACATCCAGCCAAATTCTCTTTCATAAATGGAGGCCACGAAAATGTTTTTATAAATGCAAGAACCTAGAAAATCTAACATTTACATATGGTATCATATGGTATTTGAAGAAAATGGAGAGTATGATAAAGGCAAACGGGTTATAAACTGTGAGTACTAACTCAGGATTGAGAAATGGACTATAACTGGGCAAGGGGACATGGAATTTGGTCAAAGTATATTTGTAAATTGGAAGTAAAATTAGCTTAAATAATAAAACATAACTAACACATAAATAATACTAAAATCGACAATAAGGGCATAATTGTCAGCCTCAGTTTTTGTTTTTAAAATGTGAGAAAAGCATAGGACAAAAAGATGTGAAGGTGATTGTGCAGATGAAGTGCTCAAAACTATTCTCTCATTTTTTTCTCTCAATAATATGATGTAAATAAGTAGCGAGGTGAATTCTTGAAAACTCCTCAGTGATGCAACTTAAATAAGCAGGTATATCTACCCAAAACACTGAATATAGGAACATGGGTTATTTCACTGTATATTTCTTGCCTGGATTAGTATAATGTTTAAAGAGATCACACTTATGTGTCAGGAGCCTTTATGATAGTTCTTTGATCTCCAAAGCTTTAAGGCTGAAAAGATTTGGAAGCTGTTGTCAGTAATGGCAGAGAAAAAGCTGCCATCGTATTTGATATCCCTTTGATATTTGGCCTCTTTTTAGTTGTATGGATTCAGAAATCTTTTAGGGTCATGCAGTGATATACAGTGGACAATACTTTTGTCTTAAAATCTAGATAAAAAGTATATTTTTTAAATTTATTATTGAATATCTTTAGTCCCAAATTATAAAAACCTAATATTATTTAAAATATAGTTTTTCTTGTATGCCTTGGTCTTTTAATGAGTATAGATGAAATAAAATAGTTCTCTGTCACAATTCCAGTTTTGTTATAATTCCAGACAAAAAGACTGGAGTACATAATTTTTGCTGAGTAAATTATGTAATATAAATAAAACATAACAACAATGTACTAATGAAGTATCAATGGCTAAGCAAATGTTTCTCCCTTAGTTTTATTTATCTAATTCATTTAGAACTAATCAAAGTTGAATTAGAAGGCAAGATGAAATAAAGATTTTAAATTAATTTATCAGAATCATTACTAAAATGATCATTTCTTTGGATAAATTAATTAAATAGAGAAATAGAAAAGTAAATGAGGTGAAGGAAAGTTTATCTGAAAGGTATTCTTTAATAATTTTATTTTTAGAAAGACTTGTTTTCTCCAAGAAATAATCTAACCTATTTACAATTTCTAGGTAAAGCATTATTTACTAGACTTAGTCTTAATAAGCACTAAGGCTTCAAGCTTCAAAAGACAGAAAAATGGAATTTATGTCTTTGCCCTTAATAAATTGGAATGTCAGGAAAGAGGACAACATTCTATGCATTCCAACAAGAAAAAGACAACTCTTTGTTGAGAAGTATCATTTGCATAAAATGTAGTATCTGAATTTTCTTCTAAGTTCTTCTCAAAAATCAAACATATAACTCTGTGTCAATTTACTTTTCATTTTCTAATTTCCTTTATACATTCTTTCCACAAAAATTTGCTTACAACCCCCAACCAATTCAATATTTTCACTATTCTCATTGTCAATCAGATTATAAAAATCTCTTTTTTTTCACATCAGAAACAAGTGAACATTTATTTAGGTGCCTTTTTTCCTATGTGTATTTCAAATCTTTTTCAAAACAAGGCACCAGGAATCTCCAGATTGAATTATGTCCCTGGGCTAGATCAACTGCTGCTGGAGTCTTAGGGAGCCTTGTACAAATGCTAGAGTTACTCATTTACCAACATTAAATACTAGGAGACAAGATGCAACAAAGCCAGACTCCTTCCTCCGTGGAATGTGCTGATTTCAGAGGAGGCAGCAGCCAATGTAGAAAACACTGGAATTTTTCCTTGGAACTGGACTGCGATGAGAGGTGCTTGCCATGAAAATGACCTACTGTCTTTTCTTTGATCCTTCCTTTCTAGTTTTTGAAGACTAAAGCAGGAAATAATCTTCTCTGAAGATACTTGATAAAAATTCCCAAAAAAGCAAAAACACATGCTTCCACTTCACTGATAAAAATGTACTGCAGTTTGGCACCTGGGTCTAGTTCAGCTGGTGGATGAGCTGATTGGTGCGTTTACCCTGATGGCCAAGTGAGTCCATCTCCTTGAGGAAGTCCACTGTATTTTTGGTAGCATGACAGGCCACTGAGAGGTGGAAAGGGTGCAAGAACCATGAGATCTCCTGGAAATGCTTCTCTGGGAAGGCAATTTCATGAATGAGGTTTTCCAAGCAAATGACACCAAACTTCCCCAAGTGCTCCTCAATCACTGTGTTGTCTGTTAGAGGAATGGTCTTATTCTTGACCTTGGCTTGTCCCTGTTTCAAAATGAGTTCCCGGACAGATTTCAGATTTGGAAATCCTCAGGTCACATAAGTTTCCACTAAAAGCAGCATTTTTAGGTTCCGGTGGGTGACATTTACAAAGACACCACTAAAACTTTTCCTTAGGTGAAGTCTTGCAATGGTTTTCCGCACCAGTAAACTCACGCCATCAATTCTTTTGATGCCTACAACAAAAGCCAAAGAATGTTTATCTGGCAATTCCAAGGTATGAACTTTCACTTCTAGTCATCTGAGACACACCTTGTCACGTTTCTGCTGTCAGAAATCATGTAGGAATGATTCCAATTGCTTAAACCTGAAGCCTTTTCCTTTCCTCTGCTCCTTTGCCAAAAGTGCCTGCTTTGCCTGGGTGGCTTTGAGGGCTTGATAAGCCTCCCTCTTTTTCAGGAGATTTTCTGGAACCAAAGGGATTTTTCTTTGCTCTTGTTCTGCCATCTTTCTAGTGTTGCAGCTCAAAAATCTCACACATTATAACTGACTACACATTTTAAAAACTGCATTATATAATATGTATACAAAAGAATATAATAGATATGTATACCGTAAAATGTAGTAATAAAATGAACAACTACGAAGCCACCACTCAGCCTAAGAAATATATTATCAAAATCCTGGCATTTACTTTTGTTTTGCTGTCCATTAAATTCTTCTATCTAATCCAACAGGCGGTCACAATATGTTATTAAATTTTGTATTTGTCATTACCTTTCCATGCAATACAATGTTTAGTGTAGGTTATTTTTTAAACTTCATATAAACATTTTAGTATTTATGCTAATTGCTTCTTCATGCAACACTAAATATAGTACGTGTCCAAGTTTTAGTGTTTTGCTATAATTCATTTGTTTTTTAAGCAATAAAAATTATATTGTCTGAATATTTCACATTTTATTCATCCATCTTCCTCTTGATAGACATGTAACATGTTTCTTCTCAGATTCTGCTCCCGTCAATAATATCACTCTGAATACTCATGTACAGGTCTCCTGTTCTATACACACATGGTTTCTCTAACATATATCCCTAGGAGAGAAAATACCTGTACAAGGTCATGCCACATTGTTTTTAAATTTTTAAAGAATACATACTCTTCAACCCTATCTTCTATAATGCATATTTTTCTCAGATTTTTTTTTACGTGTGTATTGCAGCTTATTAAAAGAAACTGTAGGCAGGAAGAAATTGGAAGAGTCTCCTGGTCTGTGTAGGTCCCCCAAACAGAAAACTGGAGACTGTTACATCAATGCATGGATTATATTTAATTCAATGAGTTTCTACTACTGTCTGTGTCTATGCAATATCACCCAAAACAAGATGTAGATAGAACATTTCCATCACCTCAGAAAGTCTGCTTGTGCCCCATTGAAGTTGACCCTTCTTTCTACCCACTGCAACTTTCTGATTTTTAATCGCTTAGAGTAATTTTGCCAAAAATTGCCCTTTATATAAAGTATATATGAACTCATGAAGTTTACGTTATTTAGTATCTGGCTTCTTTTAACTTATTCTTTGACTTTTATCTATCGTTACATCAATTAGTAGTTCCTTCCTTTTTTATTGCTAAGTATTATTTCACCAAATAAATATGACAAAATATTTTAACAGATGCAGAAGGATTATTGCTGTAAGTTAATTAATGTAATGTCCCAGCTACTTGTGATGCTGAGGTGGGAGGATCATTTGCACCCAAGAGGTCAAGCCTGCGGGGGGCAGTTGTACCACTGCACTTCAGTCTGGGTTACAGAGCAAGACACTGTCTCATAAATAATAAAAAGACATTATAAGAGCTCATATTATATAGATGTTCAACAAATTTGTGTTGTTACTTCGAACATTTTAATCAAAATAAGTGGTCCACATTTAGTAGTACCAAGGTAATATGTGGAGACTGATAGTTTTAGTTAATTTTAAGATGAGAAATTATCTTCATTCATTGATTTTTTAAAAGTATCTGTTATGGTTTAGGTGATGAGAAAATGTACATAAACAATAAATAAGAATCTTATTAATTTTACAGTACTTGAATTTGAAGTATGGTTTTGCTAAAAATAAAAATAAACTCTTGATGCTCTGTTGATGAGAATTGTTTAATTCTCATCTCTTTTATATATTCTTAAGGATATATTGAAGGCTCATCTACATAAATTAAGAACATTTAACTTGCTCTGGAATCATTGTGAAAATAAATGTCTTCGATTTCCTAATAGCTATATAACTCACAAAAATAAGAGTAAGTAAATTTTAAATAAATTTGTATCTATAAATTGATTTATGTTTGTACTGTCTTAGGACACAACAATATTTCATAAATCAAATATCAATGATAAAAATATGTATTCCATATTAAAGCTTTAAAAGTAAGGTGCTGCATTGAGATTACTTTCTACACATACCCCCTTCAAAGATGTTTAATAATATTTCACACTTAAATGAAGACATACAAATGATACAGTTAACACTCTCTCTTTCTCTCTCTCTCTCACACACACACACACACTCATGTATATACATGTTCTTTTTAAAATTCAGAATAAAAATAACAAATAAATCTTTGAGGGGAAAAAAGAAAAAAAGGCTCTTTATATGCCAAATTACTGAGAAAATATTCAGCTATATTTTTTACTCTTTTTTTCTTTTATGTAGTGAACCTCAGGTGTAAACTTCTGGCAGCATTTTGATCAGATTTAGAAAATAGTTGAAAGAGGAAGAACAAAGGGAGATGATATAAATGGCAGAAAACTTAAGGCATCTTTGGATGAAAAAATAACCTGAATCAAGAAAATGTAATTTTTGATGGTGATTACACTTCGAAGAAAATAAAGTGGATTGAGGAGCCAGATATGACTGGGCAGGAAATTAGATAGGATAGACAAGATGACCTCTCTAAAGGGGGCTATTGAGCTGATACTTGAATGATAAAAAGGAGCAGGCTATCAGAAGTTACGAATCAAGTGTCTTTCAGAAAGAGGAAAACAAAAAATAATGGAAATAGGGATAACCCATTAGAGAAAATGTGAGAAGGCTTACATGGTTGGAACAAAATGAGTAAGGGTAAGTTTCAGAAGAAGAGAATAAAGACAGGGAACTATAAGGTGGGATGAGATAAAGAGTTTATACCTTATTTTGAGTAATGGGAAATAATTATTGGGTTTTATGCTGGATAATATTTGTAATCTGAATTAGAATGTGAAGATTACTGCAGCTGTCTCACAGGTCATCAATAGTTCTGGGAACAGGAGAATGTTTTGGGAACTGTTAGCAGGTTACTGGAAAGTTTATGTAAAAGATGTTACATACTTTAAGTAGGATCCAGGCAGTAGTGTTTTAAGAAACAGTCCAGTTTGGATACTTTCTGAAAGAATAAATAGCAAGATTACATAAGGATACAATGACTGGAAGAATCAAGGAGAAAGCCTAGTGTTTTGGTCTAAGAGACTGGGTAAATTGAAGTAGTATTAACTATGATGTATAAAACGGACAAAAGCAATTTGTGAGTGGATAAACATCAGAATTTAATATTCAAAATTCAAGACCAAATACTGGAATTAATAAATTCATGTCAGTGCTGAAACTTTGTCAAGTTATGCTACTGACATGAAGTAATGATACAGTATATCTGAGGAGAAAAAAATAAATAAATTCACCTATTGGGAAAGTGTTGTTGGAGGAGAGAAAAATGACAAGAACTGAAAACATTTGTTCTCCGTCACTTCGTGGTCTGGAGTAGACAGAAGAGCAAAGGTACAAAGAGTCAGCAGCTGGTGAGCCTTGAGGGATACTAAGAGAGTGCAGTAACATGGAAACCAATGCCAGTGTTTCTAGAATAAGAGTGTTAACTGTGTGAATGCTGGTGGGAAAGTTGAATATGGGTAATAGACTTGAATAGACAATATGGTGCACATTGGTGACCCTATAATGTTTCAGAGGTGTAGTGACAAGGATGAACGGAGGAGATTGAAGAGAATGTGCAGTGGATGAATGCGGAAATTGTATCTGAGTCCTTCAAAAAAAATTTATTCTAAAGGGGGACAACATTTATTTGGTAGTAGTCAGAGAAGTATGATGTTCAAGAATATGGGACCCATTATAGCAAGTGATATGCAAATAGTAATGTGTTTCCAGATGATTTTTCTAGTCAAAAACAAGGTGGGAAAGAACTTTCTAGTTCGCAAAGTAATTAATGTAATTAATAGATTCTTATTATAATGAAATGCATTTAAAAATGTCAGCATTCCAAGAGACAGTATTTTCAACAAATTTATTTTTATGTTTTTATTTTTAACAATAATAGTTAACATTTATAAAGTAACTGCATTATTTTCTTATATTTTGGCTGATGAGGTTCTTTGAATTTTTCAAGTCTATTAATTGAAGACTTCCCCTCAACTCCCTCCCCATATTCTAGGAAGGATAGATAAGTATAGGGATGTACATAGTTCATTGTTATTACATCACGTCCTGGTCTGACCAACTATTTCCTTTAAAGTACTGCTAAAACTTGTCTACATTTTATAATTAAGGTGAATGTCAGTAATTTCATCAAATTACAACCTTTTGTTATTATATTATAGTGAGATGTGTGATTTCTGTATCCTCTAATAGAAATATTTCTAATAGCAAACATTTCTCTTTTTATAGAGTCAGAATCAAGATTTGTTTCCTCCACTTTGTTGAAACTTAAGCAAATATCTCTTGAATAATTGAATTGGCCCAAACTTTGTGGAATTTTGCCTACTTCATAATTGTTTATGAAATACATCTACTTTCTACTAGAGGAAGCAAAGAGTGTCACATAATAATGACTAGAAAGACCTGTATCATGTAAGGCAGAAATTTTCTTACTTCCCATGTGTTTTGGTCTGTTTTATGTTGCTATAAAGGAATACCTGTGGCTGGGTGATTTATAAAGAAAAAGGTTTATTTGGCTCACATCTCTAATAATCTATAAAATTGAATATTGACCATCTGCATCTGGTGAGAGCCTCAGGCTGCTTCTATTACAGGAGTTATTAAGAAACAATTTTTAGGCAGCTAGAAAGGGTGAAAGTTCCCAGTGGAACTTTCCTTTAAAAAAAAAGCAACTCCCAATCCATGTCTTTTCTATCAGAAAGGGGCTTGAATAACCAGACCTGAAAGCACTGATATGCAAATACTGGTAGCTAGAAACCAGGTCCACCCAATATGGTGGCTCCCGCCCTCTTTCCCTTGTCACCAGGTGTGCCAGGTGTCATGCCAGCCTCCAGAAAAAACTACATGTGTGGGATGGCCAGTCTTTTTGCAGGCTATGTAAAAGGCACACCTGGTCAAACCAATCAGCTGGGCCTATTTCTCCACATACTCTCCAGCATACTCTCCAGCATCTGTTGCTTCCTGACTTTTTAATGATCACCATTCTAAATGGCATGAGATGGTATCTCATTGTGGTTTTGATTTGCACTTCTCTAATGACCAGTGATGATGAGCTTTTTATCATATGTTTGTTGGCTGCATAAATGTCTTCTTTTGAGAAGTGTCTGTTCACTTCTTTTGAGAAGTGTCTGTTGCCAACTTTTTGATGGGGTGGTTTGTTTTTTTCCTGTAAATTTGTTGAAGTTTCTTGTAGATTCTGGATATTGGCCTTTTGTCAGATGGATAGATTGCAAAAATTTTCTCCCATTCTGTAGGTTGCCTGTTCACTCTGATGATAGTTTCTTTTGCTGTGCAGAAGCTCATTAGTTTTAATTAGATCCCATTTGTCACTTTTGGCTTCTGTTGCCATTGCTTTTGGTATTTTAGTCATGAAGTCTTTGTCCAAGCCTATGTGCTGAATTGTATTGTCTAGGTTTTCAGGAGTTCAAGACCAGCCTGGCCAATATGGTGAAACCCTGTCTCTACTAAAAATACAAAAAAAAAAAAAAAATTAGCCATGCCTGGTGGTGGGCACCTGCAATCCCAGCTACTTGGGAGGCTGAGGCAGGAGAATCGCTTGAACCCAGGAGGCAGAAGTTGCAGTGAGCCAAGGTTGCATCACTGCACGCCAGCCTGGGCCACAGAGTGAGACTCCATCTCAAAAAAGTTATATGGAAAAATACGCTGCATGTTTTGAAATAGGATAATTGCTCTTTCGAAGGGGAGTATGTGCCCTTCTTCAAAGCCCTGATAGAAAAAAAAAGCCAAACACAATCTCTAAAAATATAAAACAAGAAGTCTTTGCATTAATCAAATCAAATCATACTACTGGCCAAGCAAAACAAGACTGTGTCAGGGTGCCTTACTGATTACTGGTTGATCAAAAGAAAAGAATTCTCATTCATAATTTCTCTTGCTCTCCATTTGCACCATTTGATTATCCTTGACATTCCTAGTTCTTTATACTCACTTTGCTACAGGATTCTCATCTCCTTCAGTTTTGAATACTTTACTGTGTCCGTTAGCTTTTTGACCTCAACATTCCAGTATAGCTCTTCTTGCAAACTGCATTTATCTTTAGAAGTAAGAAAACTAATTTCCTCTAGCCCTAGGCTGTCAAAAGGCCTCCATATGTGGGACTAGCCTCTTCCACTGTTACCAGGGGAGAGGAGGAGAGAACACTGAAATATTTGGATTGTCCCCCAAAAAAGTTATGTTTCACAAACAACTTTTTTTTTATATTTGGGGGAATTTTTTTCTCAAGTATTTTAAGACAGCAGGCAAAAAAGAAATGTCAGATTTCAGGATACTTCTTTCACAAGGAGAAGATACACAAAACATTCTCTGTTGGATAATACTGTAAAATAATTTATTTTTTATATTTCTACCTAATTTTCTTCATATCTTGTTAGCTCCTGATACTATGTTTACAACTAAAAAACTGTCAGCTGTCAAGAGTTGACAACATACATCATTTGGAAGAATAAACCATAATATTGCCTTATAGGAAATATATGGTTATACAGACATTTAGCCATGAAAAACATTTTTACATAGGCCTTCATACTGGATTCATTGAGTATCAGAATTTATACTGTCAATGTATCTCTAAAGTAAAAAGAATAATAGTCTTCATAAAGTTATTTCTTGTTGTATGTCACATCAAGGAAATTGAAAATCATGACCTAAATCGGCACTTAATTAAAGCAATTATTTGGCACATAAAAATAATTTGGTCAAAGCAAAATCTCTCTTATATGTTCAGCCATAATTGAAGTCAATTCTGGGCCATTAAGAATAAATTGGCTCTGTATTCTTCAAATAATCCATGAAGTCCATAATATTATGTGAAAAACATAGATCCTAACCAACACTTTAACCTAGATGATGACTATTCTATTTTGACACCAGAGTTGGGAAATTTAAAAATCATCATTAAATCATAAAAATTATCATTTTTCATCAAATTATGTTAATTTATTGATACAAAAGGACAATTAGGTAATAATTACTTCATATTCTGCCATTCTGTAAGGCAACTCACTACATCTACATTTTTATATTTCCAGCAAACTGATTTATTTTCCTAAATATAAAAAAAAATTTTAAATTATCAAAATGACCCATAACTTAGACAGAAAACTGGGATGAGGGTGCTTAGCATATTTTTTCCACTTAAAATGTAATTCATTCACCTTCTATAGCAAATACTTTTTGATATTGTAGTTTGCATAGTAAAATTAATACTCATGTATTTTTTCCAAATTTATTCAGCATCATAGTGAAACTGAATGCCTAAATTCTTATTTTTCTGCATTTTTGGATAACAGCCACTAATGTATGAGATGTTAGGACATGTCCACATAATAATTTTTGCTTCTTAAAGGTACACGTGAGTGTTAAATATATTTTATTTCTGAGTAATTTGTCTATGGTCTTTGTAATGCTTGCAAATCCATCACTTAAAGCCTCTACCTCTCCTTTTCCCACAGCACCTCGCTAGTTCCTTCTTTAACATTTCAATAGTTGAAGGAGAATCATGACCCTATTTTACCTCAAATAAGACAAGGAAATAATGTTTAGACATGAAAAAGGAAGCTGGGATTACAGGCTTGAGCCACTGCACTCGGCCTGTTAACATTTTTCATCAGTGCAGTATGTTTGTTGAAACTGATGAAAAACATTGATACATTGTTATTAACTAAATTTTATAGTTTACCTTAGGGTTTATTCCTTGTGTTGTATAGTTCTATGGGTTTTGACAAATGCACAATGTCAGGTATTACATACAATGATAAATAATGTAAAGTACTGTATAGAATATTTTCATTGCCTTGAATGTGCCCTGTACTCCATTTATTCGTGTCTTGGGTCCTCTCTTTCACAATCCTGCAACCACTGACTTTTTTTATTGTCTCCATAGTTTTGCCTTATCAAGAATTTCGTGTGATTGGAATCATACAACATGTAGCCTTTCAAACTGGCTTATTTCACTTAGTAATAATGCACGTAATGTTCTTCCATTTTTTTTTTTTTTTTTTTTTTTTTTTTTGCAGCTTGTTAGTTCATTTGTTTTCACTGCCAAATAACAGCGGATTATATGGATGTAACACAGTTTCTTTATTTATTTATCTATTAGTTACTTCTAGTGTTTTTCACTTCTGATTAAATGTGATATAAACATTTGCAAGTAGATTTTGTGTGGGCATAGGTTTTTAAGTAATTTTGGTTAATATCTAAGAGTAGGATTTGCTTAGTAACTAAGAGTATGATCATGTGGTAAGACTATGTTCGGCTTTGTAAGAAACCACCAGACTGTCTTCCAAAGTGTCTATCCAACTTTGGGTTCTAACCAGCAATAAAGGAACATTGCTGTTGCTTTACATCCTTGCCAGCATTTGATGTTCTCAGTGTTATCGGATTTTAGTCAATCTAATAGATGCACGTTGGCTTCTCATTGTTTAATTTGTAATTCCTCAATGATATATACTAGTGAGCATCTCTTCACATGTTTTTTTGCAACTGGTATGTCTTCTTTAATCAGGTATATAGCAACATCTTTTGTCCACTCTTTAGTTGGATTGTTTTTTTTCTTATTGTTAAGTTTTACGAATTTTTGTATATTTTGAATACAAGTCCTTTATCAGATATGTGGTTTGAAAATATATTTTTCAAGTTTGTGGCTTATCTTTTAACTCGTTTAGCAATGTTTTCCCCAGAGCAGATGTTTTTAATTTTAATGAAATCTAGCTTATCAATTTTGTCTTTTTTGGATTGTGCTTTTGCTGTTGTATATAAAAAGTTATCGCCAAACCCAAGGTCACCTAGTTTTTCTCTTGTATTAGCTTGCTGAAGTTTTATAGTTTTGTGTTTTTCATTTAGGTCTATGATCCATTTTGAGTTTGTTCTGTGAAAGAGAATACCATTTTTCTATAATTTACTTATGTTTTTACTGCTATCCTATAATCTATAGAGGAGGAACTAGTCCCAATTTTTAATGAAATCCCTAATAGTAAGATCTGGGATTAATTTTTATTAATAAATGAGTGGGAGCAATAATAGCATGTATATGAGTCAATTCCATATGTATACTATTTATTCCTATTCAGTTGTGTCATGCAGTTTTCATACTTTGAAGTGACAACAAATATCTCAGTATTTCATATTTAATTATGTTATGAGAAAGATATCATAAAGAAAAATATTTAAAATGCTATAAATAATTTAGCCCCAAATATGTCAGCATATTGTATCTAATTTATGCTTCTTTGAAAACAAAAGGTAAAATAAATTATTCAACCAAAACCAAACAATAACAATTTAAATAGACCAGATATTTACAATAATGTCTATAATGTGAACATCTCTTTAAGCTTTAACTTGAAATATTTGTAACATTTGTTTTTTACATAATGTAAAAATGAAAATGAATTTCTTAAATGGAGGATGTTACAATAGTAAAATTATTTAAGATATATATTTCTAATATTTTGAAGATAAAATGAAGATTCATGCAAAAGTGTATACATAAATTATGCCTGGACAAGTTCAGCAGCAGTCATTACAAACTGTCTAGATATATGTATCTTTGGACATGACAAATTAGGCTGCACATTTAAAGGATTAGCAATTTTGTATATTAGCAGTTGTTTTTTTATCAACTTGTAAGCTTAGTATTTTAATAAACAAATATAGAACTTAAACTGTTAAAATAGAAATGCATTGCATTTTAATAATATTATATAATTGGGTTCAGACAGTACTTTTCAGTTCTCAGTAATTGAAATGGGTCTTACCTAATTTGAAATGCCTCTGAATGAGGCAACAGAGACTACTTACAAGGATAATTCAACAGTATATGGCAGCCAAGGGATTGTGGAGTGATCCTGATTGAAATTGACTAGAATTAAGATATGTACGGAATCAAATGTAGGCAAGCAGCACTTGCATATATATATGCAACTAATACTGTAGTAAAAAGAAAAAACAAGCATAGCATGCTTGTAAGATACTCTAAAAGGACATACATTTAAAAATAATTCAGAATGTTTCCATTAAATGATTTGTATATCAGGTATATAAGAAAAATAGTTATTCAATTTTAGGTTTTATTTTAAATTGTTACATCCTAAGTATTCATACGCAATGTAAACTGATATTATATTTAAAAGTTTAGAAAATACATTTTAAGGTATACTTTTAAAACAAAATAGACTTTCTTCTGACACTAGTTTTATGCATTTAAACTTTTCAGAGCAAAGACATTTAATAACATAAATTAACTTGTTTGTTTGTTTGTTTGTTTGTTTGTTTTTTGAGATGGGATCTTGCTCTGTTGCCAGGCTGGAGTGCAGTGGTGCGATCTCGGCTCACTGCAACCTCCGCCTCCCGGGTTCAAGAGATTCTCCTGCCTCAGCCTCCCGAGTAGCTAGGACTACAGGCACGTGCCACCATGCACAGTTAATTTTTGTACTTTTGGTAGAGACAGGGTTTCACCATGTTGGCCAGGATGGTCTCGATCTCTTGACCTCATGATCCGCCTGCCTCAGCCTCCCAAAATGCTGAGATTAGAGGTGTGAGCCACTGTGCAAGGCCATAAATTAATTTGTTTAAGCATGGTGCATATTCTTTATTTTGAAGAAAGATTCATAATGTTTATGTACATTTTTTATTTGAAATTAATGTGTAAAAGTTAACATGTGTGGTGTGTATGTGCCTCTGTGTGTGTGTGTGTGTGTGTGTGTGTCTGGCCTTTGGAAAATCATAAACTTCTAATTTGAGAATAAACAATATTCAGAAAATACTGAAATATGTAATATCCAGAAAATAACAGCACATAATTAATTAATGTAACATCAGTACTTCGTTGATATATTGAATTGAATGTTATTGATATATTCAAGCAAAGACTATGGAACTATTTATTTACTTTTATAAGGGGAATTTCAAAGCTGCTCAGAAGGCAAGAATGTAAGATAATTTAGGTACTTAGAAATGTATTATTTTGTGATGTATTTACTGTTTGGATGTTGCTTGTTAGAGCTATGTTTTATACATGAAAGCCATTCAATATATGTATTTATTTTTATACTACATCAATATTGAAATGTTTATTATTTGACAGGGCAATTCCTCCTCTTCGAATTTTTTACAGGTATGAAAATATGTTTACTTATAGTTAGAACTGAATATGTATAAATGTCTGTTGATAGTGAAGTGATTAAATATATTATGATATTTTAGTATTTTGGAATAGTATTTCACTATTAAAAATGAGTTAGGCTTCCAGGTACTGGTCTGGAGAGAAGTAATATTTTGTTAAATAAAAAGAGTAACATACAAAAATGTGCATAGTATGATTATCTTTAGGAATAAAAGATTGCACAAAAACACATGCACATTTACATATGTATATAAATGCATTAAAAAGAACACTAGAAATGAATGCTTTGGCAACAACATCATGTCAAATTTTATTTCAGGGTAGCCAGTACATACTTTGTAAAAATTTACAGTGTTTTATTTAATTTTTTTCTTTTATTGTTCATTATTAGAATACCAAAACATGCACATGGTTCAAAGAATAACAGGTTTTCAGAAATAAAAGGGATCACATGTAAATCTAGACCACAAATCATCTATGTTTTGATATAATAATCACAGCAATCAGATAACTGCTGCTTTTGAGGGACCAAGCTTCTTATGAGGAGAGCTCTAAGATAAATACAGATAAAGCCTTTCAGATTTGTATACCACTCTTCCCAATTATTTCTTCTGATTTGGAGTATTCTTCATTTTTCTTTCAAATATAAATAACTCAAGTATTTGAAGAAAGCAAAAAATTCTCAATGTTTTTGCAGTGCATTCATAAACTGTCACTCCCATTCCCCACAACCAGTGTAAACACACACACACACACACACGAGCACACACACACCACCTACAGTTCTTCAGATTGAACATCTTAAAACGTCCCCCTAAAATGTGCTTTGAGTCCCTGGTTTACACTAGCAACTCTACTTTCCAACTTTAAAACCTCTCTTCATGTGTCTCAGTAAAAACTGAGAGCCACTCTTAGGTATAGTCTTGTCTAGGGCAGCCTGAGGAACCATCACCACCTCTCTCCAGCTACCCTTACTGTCCCGAAGGCAAATGTAACTACAAAACTGCTGTACTATTAGGATTTTACAACTAACCCCTCTAAGTTTGGTGTAATTGATGCTTTTAAGCTATGCCTTCCTGTCATATATTGTGGGGTTCAGTTTAAAGATCTGCTTTCAATTTGGAGGTATGTCGTAATTTCTAACAAGTGTAGAGTTGGTGGATGCGGCTTTGTTGAGCCCTAAAGAATTGTTTCTGAGATGTCCTCACATCTTCATCTTCCTGGTGAATTTTATTCTCAATTCATCAATATCTTTCACCTTTAACCAAGTAATTAAGACAAATTAAAATAAAACTCCACATATCCTATAATATGATCCAAGGACATTGCCTCCCTCCTCCACATTAAATTAGTTGTTTTTAAATAATTCCTACAAATTCAATTAGCTATGCTGAATTTATATTTTCTTTAAGTTATTTTCTTTGAAAATAACGAAACTCTCTCATAATAGACAATGTTTATGTGATTATAGGAAAAGAATATGTGTGGAATTATATAGGGGCTGAGCTGTGGTAGCCAGTAGCCACATGTAGATATTGTGTGCTTGAAATATGGCCAGTCCAAATTGTAATGTAACTAGTACACATTTCGTTTTGAAGAAAAAAAAGTAATGTTAAATTATCTCTATTAGTAAATGTTATGATAATTACACATTGATATAATGATCTGTGAGGAAAATAAGTTAAATAAAATGTTATTAAAATAAATGTTACCTGTTTTCATTTGCTTTCTTTAATGTAGCTACTAACACGATAAAATTGCATATGGGTCTACATTATATTTCTAGTTTAAAGCTGCCATTATGGGGATAACATTTTCAAAGTTCATAGAGCACTCATACAAATCATGGACCCTGGAAGATTTAAGGCAGTTCTAGACCAATAAGTAACTGCAGCAGTTAATAAATCTTTCCCCTAATGTTCCACTATTAATATGACTCAGCTCATCGCCATCTATCTACTTCTCTTTGTCATGCTGCTATAAACTGTCTCCTACATCTTCAACGTTTTCCTTTCTCTTCTAGTTTCTACATTCTTATAGCATTTTTCTCACTTATTGTTGTTTTATTGCATAAGCAAAATCATCACCTCTCTCTATCAACACCTAACCTTATTGCCAATTTTTAAATATTTAATTTTTTAAAAAAGTATGTTTCAAAGAAAGGAAACATCTGGTTGATACAGCAATGTCATCTAAGCAGGGAGAAATCAAAAGTGGTTTGGCACTCCATACATTGCAATTTCATGAGTAATGTGGCAAACTTGTTTAACTTCTTAGTTACAGCTAGTAGAATTGTATATTTCATATTTTTACACACAAGTTGTGAAATTTAGATACACTACCTTGACATGCATTGTATTATTCTAATATGATAATGAACTACATCTTAAAGATTTGACCATTCACACCGCTGTTACGTAACATGTTAATTACATCAAAACTGTATGGTCTAAAAGTAGCATGTATTATATCCTAGTTTCCAAGAACGCTTACAAGGTTTCCAAGGTTGCTTCCTTGGATGCCTCTGGCTCCAGGTGTTTCATGACATTATAGTCAAGCTATCAGCCAGAGCCGCAGTCCCATCTGAAGGCTTAAATGGAGGTGGATTCCATTACAAGTTATTTTTATTGTTATTGTCAAAATTCTGTTCAGGTCTCTGGACTGAGGGTCTGAATTTCTCATTGCCTATAGGCCAGAGGCTCTCTCTATACCATGCCATAAAGGACTCTTCGCAGGGCAACTTATAATATGGCAGTCAGCTTACCTAAAAGCAAAAGACAAAGAGCTCCCAAGACACAACAGCGATCTTTTTATTGCTTAATATTGGAAGCGATATCTCATTATTTCTGCTGTATTCTAAATCAGTAGAAACTTAAGTTTGTTAAGTCATCCCTGTGTTTAAAATAATCTAATGACTTTTCATTGCACCTTGATTAAATTGACAACTTTTTAGACTGGTTTATTTCCAAAAGTACCATACCTCTATAACTGGTACATTGACTTCGCCTTTTTTTGATTGTGTGATGTCTTTTTCTTTTTCTTTTTCTTTTTTTTTTTTTTTTTTTTTTTTTTTTTGAGATGGAGTCTCACTCTGTCACCCAGGCTGGAGATTCTGTGATGTCTTTATCTATTTGTGTTGCTATAACAGAATACCTGAGATTGGGTAATTTATAAAGAACAGCATTTTATTTTTTTTAGTCTGGTGGTTGGGAGTTCATTTCAAAGCACTAGCAGGTTTGGTATCTGGTGAAAGCCCAGTCTCTGCTTCGAATATGGTATCTTGAGGGCAGCATTCTCCAGACAGAAAGAACTCTGTCTTCATATGGGGAAAGGCAGAAGGACAAGAAGGAGCAAACTCCTTCTGTCCAGCTCTCTTTTACAAGGGTACCTAATTCCATTTATAAGGATGGAACCCTAACATCTCAATCAGCCCTCAGAGGCCATACCTTCTAAAACTTGCCTTGGGGATTGAGTTTCTAATATGAACTCTGGAAGGGGCAAAATCATTCAAACCATAGCACCTGACAATGCCTGTTTTTCCTTGATTTAGAATATTTCCATCAACTCTTCTCTTGTTTTAAGAATATTTCTTCTGCCCCATCTTCAGATAGCTGGTTCCTTCCTGTCATGTAGACAGTATACATAGGCCCAAAGCACATTTTTATTATAAGATGATTTTTTTATACACCACAGCACATGAACATGCTAATGCGGTTTAAACAATGATTTACTTTTATAAACAACAGGAAATAGAATCATTGGTCCAATATTTATGATACAAGTTAAAATATAATTTATTTTTAAAAAGGGTTAGTTGTGTAGGGCATCCTCAGTTAACTTGATTTTTCTTGAGTTCATTGACAAATTGCTAATTTTTTCAAATCACTTAAATACATTAATTGCATCTATTTAATTTCACTGTACTAAATTTAGTGTTTGGAAATTATATTATTAGACTTTTTTCAGAAATTAACTGTGATTAATAATAAAACCAGTATGATTAAATGAAAAATTATGATTTTAAAATGTTAAGGTTATTTTAATAACTTTCTGAATAAAGCCTTATTTTATTTAGCATGCACTTTGACCTTTCAGACTGTGTTAGTCTATTTTCACACTGCTATAAAGAGCTACTTGAGACTGGGTAATTTATAAAGGAAAGAGGTTTAATTGACTACAGTTCCACATGGCTGGGAAAGCCTCAGGAAACACAATCATGGCAGAAAGGAAAGGGGAAGCAAGGCACGTCTTACATGGTGACAGGAGAGAGAGAGCATGAAGGGTGAAGTGCAACACACTTTCAAACAACCAGATCTTTTGAGAACTAACTCACTATCACGAGAACAGCAGGGGAATATCCACTCCCATGATTCAATCACCTCCCACCAGGACCCTCCCCTGACACATGGGGATTACTACAATTGGAGATGAGATTTGGGTGGGGACACAGAGTCAAATCATATGTCTGACCAAGCTGGAATTGCCCATAAAAATATAGTTTTCAGAAGAATTTTGTGAGCTTTGCATAGATTTTATGTGGATTTACTCTATTTGGAGAAAAATCTTGCCTACAGATATTTCTACAATAATACCTTCTCTATTTTGGGTTATTTCTGCTGGAGGTACAAGGGACTGTTCCCCAAAGCTTCCTAGAGACCCTCTAGTTTTACTAGTATTAGTGAGAAGATCTGAGGCACACACATAACCTCCTGTGAATGGACTCTCTGGCCTTTTGATCATTGAGCAGCTTAAGCTTGTATAGGAATACACTTATTTTTCCTGCACCACTCTTTTGTAAATTGTCTCTTAATTTTAATCAGGTTAGATTGGGCATTTTCTAAATAAAGTCCTCATTTTATTTTACTTAATGATTATTTTCTCAATTCATCTCTCCCCTCATGCATTTTTACTGTAAGTAGCAAGAAGAAACCAGGTGACATCTTCAACATTTTGCTTGGAAGTCATCTCAGTTAAATATCAACATTCATCATTTAATGGGGGTGTTTACTCTTTTGTCTTCCATGGGCTAAATTGAATGAAGAATAATTGTCTTGGGCCACACATAAAATACACTAACACTGATTATAGTGGATGAGCTAAAAATAAATCACAAAAAACTCATAACATTTTAAGAAAGTTTTACAAATTTGTGTTGTAAATTCTATGCTTTCTGCTACTATATAACAAGGATCTCTAATCATCCAATTTCCAATAACAAGTTCTTTCTTTTGAACCCTCAAAAGCAACACCTTCAACACTCATATTTCTTGCATCAGTTTGCTCAAGGACATGTACACTTTTTCTTATGCTCCTTAAAGTTCTTCTAGTCTCCACTCACTGACCACTTCCAAAGACACTCTTAAGTTTCTGTTAAGATAGCATCCCACTTCCAGGTACCAAAATCTGTGTTTTCTTACTGTTGTGCAACAAATGACCACACATTTAGCAGCTTGCAGCCACTAATTCACTGTCTTACAGTTCTGTAGATCATAAGTTTCTTGGACTTGTCTGGGTTCTCTTAAAAACCACAAAAGTTAAATTCAAATTGTTGGTTGGGCTGGGCTCTTATCTGAAGGCTCTGGGCAATAATTCTTTTCCAAGCTCATTAAGGTTGCAGAAATAATCTATTTTCTTGTTTTTGCAAGTCTGAGGTACCTGTTTCTTTGCTGACTGTCAACTGGGGTCTGCTTTCTACATATATAGGCTACCTGCATTTCCTCTCATGAGACCTCTATCTTCAAACCAGAAGTGGTCTGTGGAATTGTTCTCACACTTCCAACTTTTGTGACTTCTTCCATTACTAGCAAGAGAAAATTCTGCTTTTAAAGGAGTCACATAATTAGACTCAGTGAGGACATCTACTTTCTTCCATATTATGTAACAAAAACACAAGAGTAATACCACAAGGTGAAGTTCATTGGGACTGTCTTAACATTCTACCTAACACATCTAACAGTTTAGAATTCAGTGATTTGAACTATGACCAGGCCTTGAGAAAAATCAAGGTTTTCACTATACTGAACTTAATTTTAAGGGCAGTTCAACTTCATGACAGCTATCTAGCTGAATAGATTACTGCAAAATTAAATTTATAATTAATTAGTTCACACTCACCAGGCTTCCGTTTCTCCACTACTTTGCCCTACCAAGTAATAAATACTACCACTTTTCTACCTCAACTACCTTGCTCTGCCATGAAACTATTTACAAAAACTAGGCCTTTTAGTTAGAACCTAGGCTATGGCAAATATTTAAAAGAGAAAATCATGACAGGCCTTGTCCTAAGATAAAGCTTATTTGTAAACTGGTGTAATTTTGATATATTATTTACTACCCCAAACAGAACACTACTATATATATTAAAAACAAAACAAAAACAAAAAAATCACTTCTCATCTTGTGTGTGTACTAGCAATATATTGCAGAAATGGCAGATATTTGTCATATTGAGGCCAGACTACATCCATTAAAGAATTCCTATATTTCTTACAAACTGGTCAAATTCTATTACATTCAGGATCACCTTCCCAGGCCTATAGGATAGCACGGGTGAAATCTGTTGTTTTACAATACTGTTTAATTCTAATTCTTTTATTTTTATTTTTATTTTTGGAGTCTTGCTCTGTCTTCCAGGCTGGAATGCAGTGGGGCGATCTCAGTTCACTGCAACCTCTGCCTCCCGGGTTCAAGCGATTATCCTGCCTCAGTCTCCTGAGTAGCTGGGATTACAGACACGCGCCACCACATCTGGCTAATTTTTGTATTTTTAGTAGAGACGGGGTTTCACCATGTTGGTTAGGCTGGTCTCAAACTCCTGACCTCGTGATCTGTGCGCCTTGGCATCCCAAAGTCCTGGGATTACAGGCGTGAGCCACCACACCCGGCTTTATTCTTCATTTTGTTGTGTATCATTGCAAAATTAACTCTTCTTGGTGAGGTTTATTCATTAAATTGAGGGTTAATAGTAGAATGTCAAAATATGCAATATATTTAAATGAGCTTCTTCCTCATTTATAACCAATTTCAAGCATCTTTTTTGATATTATTGAAGAAATTAAGAACTCTGACAGGGAATGAAATATTCATGCTATGGTTAATATTTCTTTGTACATTTCTGTTTCTTATATCCTGATTCATGATTCTAATTAATTGATGGTATAATGGGCTATTTTCTGTGACTGAACTAGG
The DNA here is from genome assembly GCF_000001405.40 of Homo sapiens. NCBI lineage: Eukaryota > Metazoa > Chordata > Mammalia > Primates > Hominidae > Homo > Homo sapiens. The sequence continues at coordinate 89,852,352 of NC_000013.11, forward strand.
GGAAGATTTTTCCTAGAAAGCAACTTTGCAACGTGGTCAGAATATTGCAGGACATCCTGAGAAAGACACACTGTCTTAGTTTGTTTTCTGTTGTTTATGACGGAATATCTGACACCTACTTTATAAGGAAAATGGATTTATTTATTACAGTACGGAGGCTGGGAATTCTAAGGTTGAGGAGCTATATTCTAATGTGAGGCTGTTCTTGTTGGTGGGGACTCTCTACAGAGTACCTAGGTGCCCCAGGGCATCACACAGTGAAGGGGCTGAGCATGCTAGCTCAGGTCACTCTTCTTATTCCTATAAAGCCACCACTCCCACTCCTATGATAACCCATTTATCTATTATTAGATAATCCACTCACAAGGGTGGAGCCCTTATGACCTAATAACCTCTTAAAGGCCTCATCTCTCAACAGTGCCATGTTGTGCTTTCAATTTCAACATGAGTTATAGAAAGGACAAATATTCAAACTACAGCACACCCTGAGAAAATGAAACATCTTTTCACTTCTTGTTTTAGAAACCAGACTTAAAGTTAACTTCTAGAGTGAAAACACACATACACACACATAGATACCCAGACAAACTCATATAACATATATCTCATCACATTGAAATTTAAAAGCTAGAATAAAATGTCCAGAAAAAAGGATAAAACACATAATATGAAGACCTGCATTCAAGTAGATTAAGAGACAAAGTTTTTTATTATTTGTGTTTTGCAAAGGAAAGAATAAAATGAAATATATTTCATAATACTACAAAAAACAAAGTTTTTAAATCTATAACGAAACAAAGACTGAACTGCTCTGAAGCAATTCGAAAATGGACATACTTTTTAAATATCACATGAAAATGTTAGAAATGTTGAAAATAGCAGAAATTTATAGGGTCTAGTCTCCTGTGAAATTGAGCAATGCATATTCCCCAGCTTACAGAGAAGAATAAAATAGATCAATGCCAGTCAGAACCTAAAGTCTGAAGTGCTATCAGGCTAGGAGAATAAACAAAATTTATTATGCTGTTGCTATGTGAACAAACTCCTCTTGAGTGTGAGAGAGTTTTAACAAAAATTCCACTAGAAGTACCAATGCATGAACAACTGTAGTCTTCACAGTAAAAGAAGATTATTAAATATAGGTATTCATTTGAAATACTTTCTTTTTAATTTGTATTTTATAGGGGTTGCTACTTAAAGCCTTGTGACCTCTCAATTATAGTCAAGAAACTCAGTCACTTTGGGAAGCTAGTGGATAATTTTCTTACATTAAAAGGAAATGTCAAAGTCAGAATACTTATTAGACGAGTAATTCATGCAAACTGCTCTTTAGATACCACGTTTACTTTCTCACAAGAGTATGTTCTTTATCAGAATTTCTTTCTTCAAAAGACATGATTAAAAAATGGAACTACAAGTCACTAGGTGTGATGTAAGACTCACAAAACACAAAACTGATAGACTGGTGTTTAATATGTATATGTGTGCATGTATATGTATGTGCATATGTGTTTGTATATGTGTATGTGTACATATGTATATATGTATGCATATATATGTGTGTACATCAATATATAAAGATTTTTTATAAATCAAGAAGGACTGATAAAGTAATTTAAAACTGGATAAGATACTTGAAGAGATACTGAGCCAAACATATGAAAAAATAGTCAACTACATTAACAGTCATATAAATGCACACTCATAATAAACAAGACTTTGTTACTGACTCAATTGAACTATTATTATTATAAGGAAAAGACTGGCAATGCTAAGTGTGTGTTTGTGAAGGTCTATAGGTCTTTCATATACTATCGATGGGAGTCAAAATCTACCACTACCTAAAATTCTTAAGAATTTTCTAGTAATGTAAAACATGAGTAAATAACTCATGGAAATGTGTGTAAATATTCATCAAAAGTTATAATAGTTTTATTCCAACATTATTCATAATTTAAAAAAGCAAATGTTCATCAACAGTAAAATGGATACATAATGGTATAGAATACTACACATCAAAGAAAACCAACTAACTAGAGATGTAAACAACATAAATTATTTTAGTCAACATAATGCTTAGCCAATAAAGCCAAATTCAAAAGAATATACATTCTACAATTAATTTATATAAATTTCAAAAGCAGGCAAAATATATATGGAACTAGAAGTTATCACAAGGTTGTCTTGGAGAATACGTAAGGGTGATCACTGAAAAGTTAAAAGAGAGGCTTCTAAGGTGAAGGTAATATTATAATTCATGACCTGGATGAAGTTTACATAGGTTCATTTTACATTAATGCATTGAAATGCATGCTTATATTTGCACTTTTGTGTACATAGGTTTTAATATTTTAAAATATAACACATGGACACAGGAAGGAGAACATCACACACACCGGGGACTGTTGTGGGGTGGGGGGAGGGGGGAGGGATAGCATTAGGAGATATACCTAATGCTAAATGACGAGTTAATGGGTGCAGCACACCAACATGGCACATGTATACATATGTAACAAACCTGCACGTTGTGCACATGTACCCTAAAACTTAAAGTATAATAATAATACAATTAAAAAAAAAAAAGAAGAAATATGATCAAAGTAGGGCCGGGTGCAGTGGTTCACGCCTATAATCCCAGTACTTTGGGAGGCCAAGGTGGGCAGATCACGAGGTCAGGAGATTGAGACCATCCTGGCTAACACGGTGAAACCCCGTCTCTACTGGGGACGGAGCCACTGCACTCCAGCCTGGGGCAACAGAGCCAGACTCCAACTCAAAAATAAAAGAAAGAAAGAAAGAAAGAAAGAAAGAAATATGTTCAAAGTATCCTAATAGAATTCGTAGTTACTTTTTAAATTTTTCTCCTTGAAAAAAAATACAACCAATTATCCTCAAGAATATAATATGCCATAGATATTGCACATCCTACAAGCAAAGAAAAGGGCATTAGAAATGTCCTTTAAATATCATCTAGAATATTCACTGAGATTTACCTGTGAAGTAATAACTAGGCTGTAAGTCAAAACACTAATGCAGCCTTCTGAACTTTATTTTTCTTCTTAGGTTAACCAATACATGGCACAAGAAGAGACAAAAATTTAGTAGTTTTTAAATATTAGCTTGACAGGTGTTGGCTATTCCAGTAAAAATTAGTCATTACTATAATTGCATTTGTTAGTTTATATTTTGTGAGACTGTGTAACATAATATTTGAAAACATGAGGTTTTCAGACTGGGATGGAGACTGTACTTAAGCCTTGGCACTGGCTCTTAACAGTTATTTGGCTTCACCACCCTGTTCCTCATGTCTTTACTGGCAAATAACTCATTGTCATACTACTAATCTTATATGGTTCTCATGCAACTAATATAATTATGAAAATAAAGCACATCTCATCTCAAGATGCATGGCACATTGAAAATGATCAATAAATATAATTGCATTAATTTAAAAATAATAATGTATCATTCATAATAAAATAGGAAATAAAACCACTAAATAGAATTATCAATGGAAATCTACTTACTTCAAAATTGTACCATGCTGTGTACAACTAGTTTCTAATTCTCTCTGAGTCTCTCAAATAGTTCATAGTTCAGGTCTACTTTTATATTTCATTGTATTAAATTCCCTTTTGCTTAAAGAAACATGAAGTGCAGATGAAACCTAAGTTATAAAGTAATCAATAACAGACATGATTGCAAATAGCCAACCCTGGAACAATGGGATTTTGAGGTTGGCTATCTAATCTCCTCTGGGTTTTAAAGGCAAAAGAATGAAGTTTAACATTTCTAACATGAGAGAATGAAAACAAAGTAGTCTAAGGTGCACAGTGGCAAAACTATCATTTAAATAATCACCTGTAGTGACATGGAACAAAATGCCTACTGGCAGCATAACTATGGAGGAACAAATATTGACCAACATAGCATTTGTTCTGGGCACACAAAAGATAGAGGTTATAGAGTGAGTGGGATAAATGCTTCTCACAATACTGAAAGATTGAAGAAAGAAAACAACAATTTCAGTTCCCTGTTCAAGAAATATCTAAAGAGTCCGTAAGTTTTTATCATCAAAAGCCATACAAAGACTTTGTTACTGGTGGATATGAATTATGATGTCGATTGAACTAACAGACTTCCAGATTTCTTCTGTCAAAGTTATTCATTAGGAATAATGGGGCCTGATAGCTGGAATAATGACATTCAGAAGTATTTAGATAATCTTGAGAAGCAAAAGTTCGAAATTCATCGAGCCTTTCTAGTCAGCAGAGGTGGTTACTCTTTCACTGTCTGATGAAATCTGACTTGCATTAATTTAAAATCCATTAAGACCTCAATTTAAGTAGCTATCTTTTAAGGGCCTGTCAATTTGCTTCATCCTTACCATTCCTGAATGCGTCTTGATCTGTAATCCTGTTAACATCCCAGGCTATCCCAGGGTGCCAGCTAAGAAGCTGAACCTGGGATGTCAAAAGTATTGCAAGGTTTTTAAATCTATACCTTCAAAACCATGGGTAATTTGTGAGTTTGCTAAACTAAGAAGACGGGAGGAAAAATGTGCTGAGTTCAAAGTATTTTATCTAGCAGCTAGGAATTTTCTCTTTGTCTCTTTCTCACTTTCTCTCTCTGACACATCTCTGAAGCAGACTCAGTAGTTCCATACTCAGCATGTGATTAAAACACTAGAAATTTCTGGTTGTAGTCAAGAACTGTTCTGTTCAGTACAGTATTCATTAGCCAAATGTGACTGCCAAGCAATGGAAATGTGATTAGTCCAAATCAAGATGTGTTTTAAGTGTAAAATATACACCATATTTTGAAGCCTTAATACAAAATAAAAGTAAAATATCATTAGTAAATTTTATATTAATTACATGTTAAAGTGATATTTTAGATATATTAAATAAAATGTATTATTAAAATCTTTTGCATTTTTTTAGTATGACTAAAAGATTTGAAAAACACATATGCATTTAACACTATATTTGTATTCCATACAGTATTTTTAGAAGAAAGGATCTGAAGACTTTAAGAGATCGGGGTATTCAAGTGGACTTATGCATTTTTGGTTTACTCATGTATTAACTAAGTCTCCCTACCAGGCCTGGAAGTGACTTCCTTCACCACTACTTGAACAGTTCATTTGTGAAGAAAGAGCTAATATCCTTGGAAAAAGCTCAAATGATATATTATGGAATCCCTTAGTATAGGTGGGGAGTTGTAGCTATTGAATTTTCAATGGGAATGATAGAATGAACCCAGTTTTACTAATCATTGACCAGTTCTCACAGTTATGACTATAGAGGACAGCAAGGCAGAGTGGAGATTACTGTGGCATGAAGCTGTCCGGCTGCCCTTCAGGATGCAGCACTTGTTCTAAATTAGTCACCAACAAATCATTCTCTTCCTCCCATATCCAAAATGGAGAGGTCAGGTAACCAAAGAGGAGATGTAAGAGAGGCACACAAATTGTGGGTGTTGTTTATGGGTCTTAGTGTTTAATGCAAAAACGATTTCAGCAGGAGTGACCAAGACAGCCTCGACATTTCCTCAATTAGACTAAACTTTAGAAAGTCATCTTCCTGACTCCAGGCCCTGAACTCCATTTCCTTAAAGTATTTAGTTTGGAAAATATATAAATTGTAATCTTTTCTCCACAGCTTTGAAATGTAAATCTTTTTAGGAGCCTTTACTAGTCTTTCTCAAGGACCTAGGAATCATCATTTTGAACTGTAATCATTGAGGAAGACAGGATCTCTATCTTCTGTTTTCTGCGGGAGCTTAAGAATGGGTTCCTTTGCCTCAAGTTGTGAAACTGCTTCCTGTCATGAAGATACCAGAAAATTCACTTTTCCTTTAAGTCAAGCCAATCAGTAAACACAGATGGCCAGTAAGCCACTCACCCCAGCTTTTAAAAATTTTCATCTTTTTTTTTCAGTGATGTAGAGCTCAGACTAAATTCTGGACTCTCTCCCCTATTGGAATAGTTTTGTATAATGTCTCTTTTTTTTTGCCTATTTAACATAGTCCTCTATGATTTTTGCTTTGACAAAAAATTTTGCAATGCTTCCACTGTTCCAGAAGCCTACATTGACTTTCAGCCATTATATATTCATCATATTATGGGACCAGTAGGGAAAAACAGAGAAATGCAGTGGAGACTGTGATGTCATTTTTCTTACTCAAATTTGTTACCTTGTGAATGTAAGCACAATTATGCCAGGAACTTGTGAAGTATTCCATTGTACCTCATAGTGCTGCTACTCTAGCCATAAAGTTAATGCAAGACTATAGCAACCATATGTAAGCAGGATGACTGAAGACCGATTATCCCTAAATAAGTATTTGAGTCATGCTACAACATATCAAACACTGACTACCTAAGATGCATTTTGGTATTTAACTCAGAACATCTGAGGACAAAGGAACATGCAAATAAGAAAAAGGAATATGGAAAAAAGTAATGAAAGAAAGTTGTTGATAATTTTATGTACAGTCCAGTGACAAGATATGGAAAGAAGAGCAATATTACCTACCCATATTTTCTCCTTTGCTTTGTGGGTATTAGGTGCACATTCATCTTTCTTTTTTCTACAGTTAGTTTTTAGTTAAGTGCTGCCTATGAGAGGCATTCAAAGGAGAAAGAAAAAGAAAAATTACATGTTTTCTTTCCTGTTTCTTGCCCTGGCAGGAGCTGTGGCGGGTATTTGTAGTTGACAGCAATCTCCAGGTGCCTTGGTGTTGAGTTCAATAGCTGCAGTGGGGTTACACACTTGAGTATATTATGGGCTACAGCAGCATCAGCAAATATTTGAACCCCTCACTCAGCATAGCAGAGTGAGATTGTAGATGCTTGTTAACACAATTTTCATTTGGCTTGATGAGTCCTGCTGTGATATGTTTCTATAGCCAACATGTCTGCTATAGAACTATTATATATTCTATATATCTAGAATGAATATAATGCAATGTGTGCTAACGTATTTGGAAGTGAGAATAATTCCTATAATATTCAAATTGAATGGACATATAAAGCTGAGAAAAGCTCCATATTTTATTATTTAAGTCTATCATATGTATTTTTGTTTCTTTTTGAGACTGGGTCTTGCTCGGTCACTCAGGCTAAAGTGTAGTGTCACCATCATGGGTCACTGCAGCCTCAACCTCCTGGGCTCAAGTAATCCTTCTTCTTCAGCCTCCCAAATTGCTGGGATTACAGACGTGAGCTTCCAAGTGCAGCCTGTGATATTTATTTATAAAAAGAAGAAATGGAAAACACATATAAACAATCTCACAGAGAATTATAAGCCTATTTCATAAATAAAATACTGTTAAACACAGAAACAGATCAGTAATAAAATCTGATAATATAATTTATGGCAAAAATCTAGTCATGCCACAATAATTGAAAAGTCAACAACATTTAATATAACTAATTATATTACATAACTTGAGACATCTTATTAGACTAAGAGGATTGCTAAATTGCCCTTTTAGGAGGAAAATAATATTATTTGGGAAAAATGGTTATTTAATCACTTGGGAGAAAAGACGATACCTCAAAAGATTTGGTGTGTATAGAACTAAAAGAAAATATGAGAAAGTATAAGAAAAATGTAAGTATAAAAAAGAGACACAGTTTACAATGCTCTGAAGGAAGTGTGTGTGGGAATTCAATTCACACAGCACAATGGAAAGATTACTTAAGAGTCAAAGAAAATCATTACACAGATACTCCTCAGGAATTCTCCAAATCTCTTGACTCTGAAACACTGTGGAATAACATGACGTTTAAGTAAATTCTATCTTGTATTTCTGGATCAAATTTATATGTAGGCTACATATTTCTGAGGCTCATGATATGTCAGTTGAATTATCATTAGGTACATTTACCAGCTGCATATAAAATTCAATCAAAACCCTTGAACTCTGTGGGAGTAGAAGAGTTCTGATGCTAAACTGATTCGGGCCATCCTTTAAACACACTGAGTCTGAGGAAGCTTTTAGATTATTCTTTTAGATCAGTATAATTGCCCTGGGGTAGATGTTCTTGTGTGCATGCATGTTATGTATATCATATGGGTGTCAGTGTGTATGGACCATGCATTGTTACACAGTATTTGGTTTAAACAAAAACCAAGAATGGTAAATATAGGAGGAATTGCAAAAAAATGGGATTCGAATATGTGTCTAAATATATATTTTCAATAATTTACTGGAAATAAAGATGAAATTCAAATCAGATATGCTTAGACTGATCTAGGTACCCCACCTGCTTCAGGTGCCAAGACAAAATCCACTGAAGACCAGCCTCCCACGGTGTGAATGGTGTACATACAAACACTGCTTCTTCTTTAGAGGCTGTAATATATCAGAAACAAGCAATATTCTTGGAAAGTGCAGTGACAAGGAATGGGGAAAAGAGTTTTAAATTGTGGTTCAACATGCAATGGTAGAGGAGTTTCACACCTGGAGGCAAAACAGAAGAAAGAGATTGATAAAGAGTTTCTGAGACTGCCATTAGTAGTTAAATGTTGTCTCAGGGTTGCCAGTGCCTCGCAGTCATGGAAGTTTGCTGATAAAAATCAAATGAATGTTCTCTACTATGAAAAGACATAAGCCAATTTTTTGACCATGAACAAACACTTAGGAGAAAAGGCACCTGGATGTATGTTAGGTTAGACATATTTTTTGACAACACATTTTTTAAAGCACAGTGTTAAAGCATAATCACCATGAATAATTGAATACTGGAACAATTTGTATCAAACTTTACAACAGAAGCTCAGCTTTTCTGAGAGGCTCCTAACTTCTAGTATTAATGAAATTACTTTAGTATTATGGAAAGTCCTATTGTAGTGAACAAATGGACTCCCTAACACCTCAAGCATGAAAGAAGGATATTTTATTAGGGAGCTTAAAAAAAGAGAGAAGTAGCTGACTTGTGAAGAGAAAAAAAGTAAGCATTAAGACTCAGAAATGAGATAAAATGGACATATTTCAGATTCTAAAAGACAACTAGTATGTCTAAAGCTCACTGAGCAAGAGGAAGCATAGCAGGAAAGGGTTGCAAAGATAGAGGCCTGTATACCACCAGCTTTAGGGTTTAGACGTCGTTTGGAAATGACAGGAAGCAACTGAAGGATTTAAGAAACGTAGCTGAAATCTTTTCAGTCCATGAAGGTGGGTGTGAGGAATCAGGAGCTCAACAGGTGAACGTAGTGACAATGAGAAAACTGCAAAGCAGTATCAGTCTCCAAGAAGCTGATACATTTGGCAAGAGAGGAGACTGGAACTCAAAAAGTCCACACATTCAGTTGGTTTAAGGGTACGATTTATTTTTGAATAGACTACAGGAAAACAAAAAACAAAAAACAAAAAACTATGCCTTCCAGGGACAACTAGTTTTAAATTAAGATAAAGATGTAAAGTCATCAGGAAGTAGAAGAGAACAAAGTAGAGGGAGGAATAGAGCATTACACCAAATCATAGGACATGCAGAAAACAGAGAGATGAGATTTGGATGAAGTCGCTGTGACACAGACTAGTGTGAGACATAACGGGGATGTTGATCAACCGGGATGGAAACAGATCGATTTCTGTAGACCTACCATTATAGTTCCCCCTGAGGAGAAAGATGCCTAATTCCTGTAGTTACTACCACATATGGGTTGGAGCAGCAGTGCAGATGAAAGGTAATATTTTGTTAACTTAAAAAAATGTGATTTATTTCGAGGCCAGCCTGACCAACATGAAGAAACCCCGTCTCTACTAAAAAATATAAAATTAGCCGGGGGTGGTGGCGCATGCCTGTCATTCCAGCTACTCAAGTGGCTGAGGCAGGAGAATCGCTTGAACCCCAGAGGCGGGAGGTTGCGGTGAGCCGAGATCGCGCCATTGCACTTCAGCCTGGGCAACAGGAGGGAAACTCCGTCTCAAAAAAAAAAAAAAAAGTTATTAATTAATTTAGAAAATGAAATGAAACTTTTTTTTTTAAATAAAGTATTATAGACTGCAACATGGCCATTCCATAAACTGAGAAGCACAACCTTCTGCTAAGACAAAGACAGGCACTTTGATGGAGGAGTGTTTGAGGCAGGAGTTTATGCTGAATTAGTTGGCTAAACATACATATTTAATAGATGGTAGGAGGAGCTATGAATATACATGAAGGTGGTCCTGACACATGTGTATTGAACAAACGCACATGTAACATATACCCCATGTTCATTTTGGGGTAGAGACCTAATATTTAAATATATTACAATTAGGCCCTATATCTCCAAAGACCTTTTCAGGACAAGAAGACGTGCAAGTTTGCAGCCTCTGTAAACCAGCCAAAGCCAGTCCTTGGTTAGTGATTTTCTTATAAGAAGAAATTTACTGAAATCAGTCTGTTGTCCAATCAAACCTGTAGTTCCGGCTGGTGGAACAGGATGTCAGTTAGTCAGTGTCTATGAGCTGGATGAGTCGTAATTGTTTTAATATTGCTTATCTTGTGGCCAGTGCTTGTTTAACTGCTAGAAAAAAAGAAAACTTCCTGTGACTATTAGAATATACTTTGTTCGTTAAGTGTAGGGGTACGTGACTTAATCCTTGCTTGGCATAGGCTTAGGTCCTGTTTATTATTTGGTATCTTATTGACACAGAGTCTGTTCTGTCAGTCTTAGGATCTCTATTTTAACATCAATGCTGGTCAGTTGTGCCTAAACTATAAAAGGCAGGGGGTATGAGTAGGCGGATCTGACCTCTCATCTCATCATAGCTGGAACTCAGGTTTAAGGATTTGTCTGGTGTCCCCTTGGCCAAGAGCGTGTCCGTTCAGTTGACGGGGCTGAGGCTTAGGATTTTCTTTTTAGTTTTATACATATGTGTATACACACACACACATACACATATATATATATACATATATATATATATGCATGCTTCTAGCCTATTACACTATCTAAAAATTACATTCTGTCAGTCAAAAAGTAAAAATATATATATATAAACTTATAACTCAAGTAAAACAGCAATTAATAGAATCTTTTCCCCAAAAGGCCATAAAGATGTCATGCAATAACTCCATCTTTTCCTCTCATTCCACTGGTTTCCAGGACATGCCATCATCACTTTGGCCTTATGAAGCAGCCAAGGTAAAAATGAAAAACACTCATTCTTCTGTAACAAAAATGCTCAGTATATTTGTGTAATATAGGTTACCCAAACTAAAATAAAATGTCTTTAATATCAATACCTAAACTAAGATAAAACTTTTTTTAATTCTGTAATTTTGTACCTAAATTTCAGAGAGGTAGGGTGATGAGTCAGCCATGACCATGACCTCCTCATTACTCCTTTTTGTATCCTTTACACAGATATGAAATAAATTCTTATGTAAAGAGATGTTGAAATGCTCCAGGGAAACTGGTGCAAGATCGTTATGTTCAGGGAAGTGAACAAAATGTGGATCCACTTGAACCTTGCTGCCATTTTGTGCCCTTCAAATAATTTTAAAAATCTATTTTCTGATCTATTTTGCTTTTATTTTAATTATCAAATTTACTTAGAATTTTATGAATAATGCCTTTATTTAACCAAAGAAACTCCAAATAAAGGCAGTGTATCACTGCTAAATAAGACTCCCAAAGTATATTGTCCTTGAGCCATTTTTTCCTAAAAGCACTGAATAAAATTTTAACCAAATTAACAAATGCCTCTGAAATTGAAATAAATTACTTCTGATATGGAATTCTAAAAATAGCTTTGTAATTGTCTTTCTTGACATGGCATCAAAGAAATCCACACGTTTCCTCACAAATAAATGTGCAATTTAAACAGAATGATTATAGCAAAACAAATTTCCATTGGGAACCACAGCAACAGCAGAGTAGGAAAACAAATGCTTAGTTATATCAATCATAAAGCAATGCCCACAGACACAATTACACTCACAACTGTCGCATCATATTTAAAGTAGCTTCATTTTAGTTGTGAGCAAAATAGAAGCTAAGGCTAAAATTTGTCTCAATTCATACTATAAACTTAATCTGCTGTCCTCTTATTTTAAACAATCTGAATTTAGAAGTGAGATTTGATTTATGTTCAATCAAGGATTAATTATCACTTTCATTAAAGTGCCTTAATTAATGGAATTAATTGGAAATTTTATGGTCTACTAGAAATCCCCAATGTTTCAAATCATAAGCTGCCAAAATTTAATAGAAATAAATTTTTTGCTGGAGGCCCTGCCACCTGAGGATTCCTTTAGTACTTTAGGATGCATGTCTGTCCAAAGCTAGTCTACCAAATATGTAAGAAAAGACTCCACTGGGGGCTTAGTTTCTTTCCTCAGAGCGTTTTCTTTTTTATTCTATCATCAATTTCTGTATTGAAACTAGAAGTATTCAGAGGTCCCTTATGTGTTAGTATGTAAGTAAAAATAAATGATCAACCACATTATGACATCTATTTGTAATAACAGCTTTAGGAAATTGTATGTATTTAACAGGTTAAATCAGATCTTTGTCAGATTTTAAAGAATAATTTCTTCATTATATCTCTTTTCATAAATGTCTAAAATAAATGACTGGTACATAAGGAAATCTGAGTAATGTTATATCACCATTGCTCTATTGCTAAGGTATGTCCTGTTTATGAAGAAGTTTTTAAATCATTTCTTATCTCACTAATGATTACTTATAACAATGGGTTTTGTACATATCTTTTAAACCTATGTATATATTCTCATGCACATAGGTAGCAATAGTATCATCCTTGCTTTCCATTATGACTTTCAAGTCATTGACTCTTTCTGAAAAATCTGCTCTATTTGAAAACTGTTAGCTCCATTTGAAAAAGACCCTTTACACTATGTTGTCCACATATTTCTGACATGTGTCTACTTCTTTGTGACTTACTCTTCTTAAACGAAGACTTTTATTCCTGAGTCAAATGCTATCTTTTCCAATTCTGTACCACTTCTAGTGATTTTACACTGTTAAACAGACATGATAAATCATCCAATATCCTAGACTCTGCTTTTTGAGCTCACCATTATGATTACTCACTGATTATTATATTCTATAATTATGTCATTCAGTTTTTCCTTCTTCTACAAACCACTAAACTCATTTCTTCTGAACTATTTGACTTCACTTTTTTTGATCACTCTTCATCAGCCTTCCTGTGTTCAGCACTCTCCTTGTCCAGACTTGATTCATTGCTTATCACACGACTCATTCATCAGCCAGTGCCCTCAAATCACCCGTGCATCTTTCATTCCCTTTCCCCACATTGAAAAATAAAATAAAAGAGTCACAACAAATGCCTCTCTATTCTGTATTTGAATTTATATTGGTTAGGAAAGCTAACACAAGTGATGAGACTGTTTCCTTTTTTATTTCAGGATAAATTCTATTATTTCGTTGGCCATTTTCCAATTCATGATATGAAATTATTATACAAGCTTTTCTATCCCCTTACTTACCATTCTCTATCCTCTGCATGCATCTCAGGAAATATCATCTTCTCTAAGAAAAAACATGAGCCTAGTTGTGCCCTCATTTGTCTTCCCATGCTCTAGCTTACTGGATTAGTTTCCTCTTCCTGCTGCCACAAATTACCAAATATATAATGGCTTAAAAAATCATGAGATTATTGTTTTACAGTTTTGGACATCAGAATTTCAACAGCGGGTCTAAATGGAATAAAATTAAAATGTCAGCAGGACTTTGTTCTTTCTGAGACTCTAGAAAAGAATCTTTTTTCTTGTATTTTTCAGTTTCTAGAGGCTACTGCATCTCTTGGTTTAAGGGCCCCTTTTAGCAAGGGGACCACTCTTACCTCTGCTTCCATCTTCATGTGTTCTTCTCTTATTCAGATTCTCCTGGCTCCCTCCAAGGACCACTGTGATCACATCTGTGCCTACCTAAATAATGAAGAGTAATTTCCCATCTCAGAATCCTTAACTTGCTCACATCTACAAAGTTCCTTTTGCCATACAAGGTAATGCATTCACAGGTTTGAGGAATTAGAACATGAGCACCACTGAGGGGTGGGAAGGCATTATTCAGTCTACCATATCTGCAAGACAACCTACATGTTTACCAACTCTCTTTCTTCCCTTCTATTATAATAGGGGAAAAAACGTCCCTTTACCTATCAGAAAAGTCACCCCACTTCCACTCTCTACTTTGGATCTCATTTCCTCCAGATTCCAGAGAAACATTGCTCCTTAATTTACTCTTATTTTCCTTGCAACAGCCATCACTATTTAACACAGAATTAGCTCATCAGTTACCAAATTTAATATAAAAATAATCCTTCTTGACAAAAAACAAAACTCTCTTGACAACACATCCCACAAGAGATACTGCCCCTATCATCTACTCTCTTTTCGAGCATTGTGTGTTCATGCTATTGTGCTTCCTTACTTCCCATTCATTCAACTTTCCTCAAATTGAAATATGTGCCCAACTTTTCTACTGATATTATTCATGTTACAATCAAGAAAACCCACCATTTGTTTAATGATAGTAAATGGAGCAGCCGGGCGTGGTGGCTCATGCCTGTAATCCCAGCACTTTGGGCGGCCGAGGTAGGCGGATCACGAGGTCAGGAGATAGAGACCATCTTGGCTAACATGGTGAAACCCCGTTTCTACTAAAAATACAAAAAAATTAGCCAGGCGTATTGGCAGGCGCCTGTAGTCCCAGCTACTCGGGAGGCTGAGGCAGGAGAATGGCGTGAACCTGGGAGGCGGAGCTTGCAGTGAGCCGAGATCGTGCCACTGCACTCCAGCCTGGGAAACAGAGCTAGACTCCGTCTCAAAAAAAAAAAAAAAAAAAAAAGATACTACATGGAAATAAACTAAATTCTCTCATCTTATTTAGCCAATTAGTTCAAAATCAGCTTTCTTTGATTTTAAGAGCATTTCCTACTTGTTTTCATGTGAATTCACTGCCCACTCCACTTTAATTTTGTTTTCTAGCTCCCTACTTTTCTGCTTGATCCTATCAGCACTCTGCAGTGTTTTCTCCTTGACTCTATCCTATATCTGCACCATTTCCCTGACAATATTATCAGTAATGTCTATCTTAACCACCAGTATTTTTATATGACTCCTCCAGATTTTGGTATCAAACTTCTTGACATCTCTATTTGCCTGTCATCTATGTACAAAACAATACAAAGACTTCTAGAGACATACTTGCAAAGTTTTCAACACTACCACCACTATTATTTTTGTCAACACAAACATAATTTGTCTCCCAGACAATTAATTTGAATCTTTTCTGGCTTCCTTTCTTCTACTCTCAACCCTGACTTCATACTAATCAATCACTTCTGTCAGTGGCTAGCAGGGTGATCCTTTTAGAGTTTAAGTTATGGCATGTTCCTTCTCCACTCAAAATTATTTAATGTCTTTATATGCCAGACCAGACTTAAAATTTCTACACAGTCTATAAAACCAGACCATACATTGGCTGGTGTCACATCTCGTCTATTCCTGAGGCTATCATCATCAGAGGCTTAATGCAGGTCTCTTGGCCCCCTAGCTTTTGCTTGAACACCCCAGTCTTATACTTGCTAATTATCTGCCTGAAATGTTATTCCCCCAGTGCTATGGTTTGAATGTTTGTGTCCCCTCCAAAATCCGTGTTGCAACGTAATTGCCAAAGAGATAATGGTAAAACGTGGGGCCCTTAACAGGTGCTTACGTCAGGAGACCTCTTTTGAATGGTATTAAGGCTCTTATAAAGAAGGCTTCCAAAATTTTGGGGCCCTTTCCCCTATGACCATGTAAGGACACAGTAATCAACGTGCTACCGTGGAAACAGAGACCAGGGTTTCTCAAGACACCGAACTTGCCAGTGACTTAACCTTGCATTTCCCATTCTCCCAATCTATAAGAAATATACATATATTTTTTAAATAAATGTACCATTTGGGAGGCCGAGGTGGGTGGATCACCTGAGATCAGGAGTTTGAGACCAGCCTGGCCAACATGGTGAAACCCCATCTCTACTAAAAATATAAAAATTAGCCAGACGTGGTGGCAGGCGCCTGTAATTCCAGCTACTCAGGAGGCTGAGGCAGGAGAATTGCTTGAACCAGGGAGGCAGAGGCTGCAGTAAGCTGAGATTGCGCCATTGCACTCCAGCCTGGGTGACAAGAGCAAAATTCTGTCTGAAAAATAAATAAATAAATAAATCAAACAAAACAAATACATAAATAAATAAATGTACCAGTCTCAGATATCTTGTATAGCAGCAAAAACAGAATAAGACACTCGAGTATCAGCAAGCCTTGTTCTTTTAATTCCTTATCCCCTCTTTACTTTTTACTCATTACTCTTTATTACCACTTTCTATATTAACTGTTTTCCCATTTATTTTATGATACCTCCTGTAGAATTATGATCAGTGATGGTAGAACTTCATATCCTCAGTGGCCTGGCTTAACATATTTGGTGAATGAATAAATGTACTCATATCCCAAGTCTCTGGCACTTACTACCTATGTAACTGTTGACATGTTACTTAACAGGTCTAGGGTTAGTAATCTTACTTCTGAAATTCAAATAAAACTGGACCCCAGTATCATAGAGTTCTAAGAAGGACTATGCAAGATAAGCAATATAAACCATTTAGGCCAGTTAACTAATGTTAGCCCCCATGACCTTTTCCTATCGTTCTAGTCTCCTATTCCAACTGTGCTTAATATTATCCTTCGGTATCATTTACAATAGAGAGATATATTCTACTTTCATAAGTGCAATTCTTCCAAAACCAATGCGTCTGGTCCACTCATCTAGTCTCAGGAAATTTAGTATAATTAAGGATAACATACATGGTTTAAACAGTTTTTACTTTTACCTCTCTCATTCATTCACTTTCTCCTTGCTGTACCTATAAAGCCTATCAAATATAGGACTTTATACACAAAACATATAAAAACATTGAAAAGGTACATCCTTATTTATCTTTTTTTAGAATCTCATGATACAGGGTAACCAGACACTTCTATTCTACCTTCAAAGTTTAAATTATTTCTCTTAAAATGATCTGTCACCTGAAGCTTCCAAATGTCCAATGTCTGCTTATGTCTTTAAAAGACTGCTTGAAAATGATAGATGAGCAGCAACTAAGATAATTCTTCTATTATAGTGTGCATATTGCACAATCAACCACTTGAGCTGATAGTATTCTCATTTGACAACTAATTTCATTCATGACGGCATTATGTACTGTAAAGATTGATTACTTATATCCCAAATTTCTAGAAAAGAAAAACATATTGTCAAATTAGATTTTTTCATAACATAGCTCCTAACAAAAGTAAACAGAGAAACATAACTAAAGATGCATGAAACAGCAAATAGCAAAAGTTTTTCTGAAGTAAAACATAAGATAAAACAAATAATTAAAATAATGTGTACAATTTACTATATGTATCAGGAGAAATAAATTCCATAAATTCTAAAGCTGATGAAAATTCACCATCTTATTATTCATTCTTGTTATCTATATTCTTATTATTATCCATATTCTTAATTCATTTCAACATACAAATTAAAAGGCAATTGCAGTCTTAAAGTATGGTCACTGATACTTTGAGACAAGAATGATACTAAT
Source organism: Homo sapiens (assembly GCF_000001405.40). Taxonomy (NCBI): domain Eukaryota; kingdom Metazoa; phylum Chordata; class Mammalia; order Primates; family Hominidae; genus Homo; species Homo sapiens. The sequence continues at coordinate 89,869,979 of NC_000013.11, forward strand.
GATTAGTATAACAAAATTTCTGTGCTGTCTTTGTCAAATAAGTGTACTACAAAGAGTCCATATAAGGGGTTGATAAAGTTGCTGGTTTTGTATCAAAGAAAAGTTGCAATTACTTGTTATCTTTAGTGCCATATTTTATGTCAGTAAATATTTCAGTTAGTGTTTACTGCTTCAAGCAAAATAATTAATTTACTTTAAAAATCTTGCATAGAAATATTTCCCAAATGTAAGTCATCCTGCTGAGTTTTTTAAATAGGGCAAAAAAAATTTAAAGCTTTATGATAACTTTATGTTTCTTTGTTTCACATTAGTTCTGACTCTGGTTTAGAAATCTAGATGCTTCATTAGTATGGTAAAAAGAAACTAAGTTTTAATATTCCCATGTGTACTCAAATTTTGCATGAGGTGAGAAGTTCATTGACCTCTTGGAATTCAACCCTCAGCCCCAGAAAGAATATCAGGTTCTAAGTTTCTAGTTCTTACAACTGCCAATCAAATCTGCTTTGTGTGGGCACTTTCTTCTTATGATCCTGTACATTTAAAGTTCTGCGGTTAAGGAAAATCAAACCATGAAGAATTATTAATGAAGTAAGGATCAATATGTACCTCCATGAATAAAGAATGTAAAATTGACTAAATCCACCTTATTTATGTACTTTTTTGTACTTATATTTATTTAGTTCGTTTCTAGATCATTGACATTTAGTTGGTGGCAGTCAGTTACGTGAGGTAGGCCTTTTTGTGTAATAATTGAAAGGGAATTTTGGTAGGTTTAATAAGAGTTTAATGATGTTCTTGCCCCAATTGTGGAAATCTAAATATGTTTCTTGCCATAGCAAAAAAAAAAAAAAATTTACAGATGTGATTAATTTAAGAAACTTGACATAGAGGGATTATTTGAATGTCTGGATGGATCCAAATGTAATCACAAAAGTTGTTCAAAAAGGGAGGCAGGATGGTCAGAATCAAAATATTTATTGAGATTTTTAAATGTAATATTTGATGTAATATTTAGTGTTTTTTCAAGGTAAAAAATAAGTATAATGATAGAAATCGAGAAGAGAGAGCGAGAGAGACTTGAAAATGCTAAATTTGGCTTTCAATGGGGAGGAAGGGCCCATGAGCCAAGGAATACAAGTGATCTCTAGAAGCTAGAAAAGGCAGAGTTGGAATCGCTCCTGGGGTTTCCAGAAAGAACATAGCCCTGTTGACCAATTATTTTTTAGGACTTTTGAACTCCAGGACATGAAAAATATTAATTTGTATTATTTTAAATCACTACATTTGTGTTAATTTGTCATAGTAGCAATGGAAAACTAATACGGAAAATATGGGTGGCTTAAATATGAAATAAATTATAATAGATAAATGTTAGAAAATAACTTCACTTTTAAATGATACTATCTGATTATAACAAGTAAGTAATTGAATTAATTGCTATAGATAATACTTATGTCCCCTCAAAATCATATGTCAAAACCTAATTCTCCCAAAAGTGGTGGTATTTACAGGTGAGGTCTTTGAGAGGTGATAAGATCATAAGGTCAGAGCCCTCATGTATGGAATTAGTGCCTTTATAAAGACTTCAGGAGCTTGGCACAGTGACCCATGCCAATAATACCAGGGTTTTGGGAGGCCAAGGCAGGAGGATCACTTGAGGCCAGGAGTTTAAGGCTGGCCTGGGCAACATAGTGAAACCTTTGTCTCTACACTTTTTTTTAAATAGCCAGACATAATGAGGTACATGTAGTCCAAGTTACTCAGGAGACTGAGGCGGCAGCATCGCTTGAGCTTGGAGTTTGAGGCTGTCGCCTAGGAGTTTGAGGGTGTTGCAAGCTATGATCTCACCACTGCACTCCATCCTCGTCCTGGTGACAAAGCAAGAAAGACACTGTCTCAAAAACAAAAAGGAAAGGAAAGGATGTGTATGTATCAGGAGTATAGATACCATTTTAAAATAATTTTCTGTTTGATATCTACAGGATAAAATAAGAAATCATATTCATGATATTGTAGTTTATTAATGAGTATGGAATTTCATAATAAAATTATATAGATCTTTTAAAGAAACAAATCAAGCAATTTAAAACTTCTTTTCATATTTCTATAAATAAGACAATTTCTGTAAAGCTAACTTTTGATAATGTAGGACGTGATCATTTGTTTTCAAGGAATTTCTGCTGTTCTGAAAATTTTTGCCATCAAGAACTTTGAGCCAGTTTTGGCTCCAGCTCTTGTGCCTTAGGGTGATAAGACTGTGGGTGACCATCCAACTGCATCAGCAACATCTGGAGCCCAAATCTCCACTGAGAAAAAACAGCAGGGAGGACCAGCAGAAATTATGCCAGATGTACTATAATTATTATATTTGCGAAATAAGTTGGTTTCATGTGCTTTATCACTTTTAACACTTTTTAAATATCTGATAAATTTGGTGCTTCATTTAGGGTCTTTAATAGTATGAAAAATCTCTGTGAATTTCATAATAAAAAGATAAAGAATTTTACTATAACTTTCTAAATTTGAAAGGAAAACCTGGTAAATAAATAGCAGATTGTTAGAAATAGTTTAACTCAACAAATGATCCAGAACCACTACTAAGAAAGAATAATGGCATGGTCTTCTTGTTCCTTTGTTTTAAATCAATCGTTATTAGTGCCTATGACCAGAACAGTAGGGCAATTTTTATGAAAAAGCACAGAAAAGATGATTTAATTTAATTCCATTTTCAAACTATTTAACAGTACTAGATAAAATAATATTAAAAAGCAAATTAATGTGCCAGAATCCTCACAGAGTCTAGGAGCTAGAAATACTAAACTACACAAGAAAGAGTATAACACACCTTGGCAGGCACAGTACATTGCCTGGCCAATATGGGTTTACAAACCCCTCTTTTCCCACTGACTTTGTTCCAGGTTAACTTTGCTCGGCCAGTAAAACTTAAGGTCAAGTCTCCTGGGATGTTTTTGGTGAAATGTCTACTTTCTCACTAAAGTGCAAGGCACAGAGTTTTACCTTCTTACCTTTAACATTTTATTCTACCTAATATTTAGATTTGATGTTAAGGATTGTGATAGCCCTATGGTAATCATAAGGTGATGAATAAAGGACAACAGACAGCAAAAAAGAAATCCTGTATGATTTTTGTTATGCACAAATAGATGCCAGCATCCACCACCCTCTAGCCTTCTTGGTAAATGGGTTAATAAATTTCTGCATAGTTTAAGCCCCTATTACTTATGGCCCCTGTTTCTTTCAGCAGACTGCTTTTTCTGATGGTAAAGAAAATGTAACTATCTTGTGGTCAAAAAGGGACTAAAATAATTTATTTACTTAGTATTAGTGAGAATTTGTAAATTAATGAAATAATGTGGATATGTGTGTATTTCATTATATTTGCATATATACATACACATATATACATATATATAAATGTCAGTATATGATAAGTATTTTGAGAAAAACTTAATCAGATAAGGATATTGAGATGTCACTTTACATGAGGATTTTTCTGAGTACATGATGTTAAAGTCACATGGATGAATGATATATTTGTTCCGTGTTTTTAAAATTAATTTTATTGTTTACTTTTAATCTATGGATAAGGAAATAAATCATGGCAGAAGGGCTGAACATTTTTCAAGAATAATGGAAGAAAATAGAAAACAATATGGTAAGAAGCAATAAGATCTAAAAGCTATAAAAAAGTGATAACAGAAATATAAATATAAATATAAATAAGTAAATGTAAATATGACACACGTTTGTACCTTTCTTTGTTTACACCTGTTTATATTCAGTGATCTTAAATCAAATTCTCTGCCTTCCAAAATGTTTTATTTGTAATAATCTATTTTTGAATAAAATGATTTAATAATATACATATTGTAGAGTCTACATGTTCCCCTGTCTAGGTGAAAAGATATAAATATTATAATTTTTACGTTTTTTGAGTATGCAATGAAATTATTCTTCATTGAATGTTGCTATTCTTTTTTTTTTTTTTTTTTGAGACCAAGTCTCACTTTGTTGTCAGGCTGGAGTGCAGTGGCATGATCTTGGCTCATTGCAACCTCCACCTCCCAGGTTCAAGCAATTCTTCAGCCTCAGCCTCTTGAGTAGCTGGGATTACAGGCGTTCACCACCATGCCCAGCTAATTTTTGTATTTTTAGTAGAGATGGAGTTTCACCATGTTGGCCAGGCTGGTCTCGAACTCCTGACCTCAAGTAATCCGCCCACCTCGACCTATCAAAGTGCTGGGATTACAGGCATGAACCACCACATCCAGCCACAAATGTTACCATTCTTGAACATACAGCTACATATTACTTATAAGCACTTATTTAAAAAAATAATTCAAATAGATTATTTGTCAGTAATTCTACACCTAATAATATAATTATCAAAATAGAACTTTGTAGTGTGCATCATAATTCTCCAATATGTTTCATCATGGAGTCCTTTTAAAGGTTGTTCAATAATTTTCCCTATTTGAAGCAATAAAACTGAGTTATGAAAATACCAATAACCACAAGGTATGTATTTCTACTCTAGACATGACTTGTTTACTTACTTTTGTTTACTTTTGTTGAATATGCCACATGATATGTTCATACTGTGGTCTAGGGCTAACCTCTGAACCTCTGAGCTCATTTCTCCGAACTTTTTTTTTTTTTTTTTTTTTTTTTTTTTTTTCAGAATCTTTGTGCTCCATGACTGGGGTTCCCATAAGATATTTTTCAATAGGTCACTGCTCAGTGTCACCTTCTCTATATTTCTCCCTTATTCCCAGCAAAGTTTATTACATCTGCTCCTTAGCTTCTTGCATTTTGCTCAGAAACCAGTGAAAGAAATGATTTTTGAGATCTTGTATCTATTACATAGATCGTATTGCAACTGTATTTCAGATGTTCCTGGAGAAAATATATGTACCTAAAAAGTGGAAGAAATTTCAGGCAACATAGCAAACCAAATGCATAATATTTTTATGGCAAGACATAAATACACTTAAATGTACACTATATGTGCAAAGTAACAGATTTTCTAGAAATAGTGAATAAAGAAATAGCAAATAAAAGTGTTATCTGAACCTCCCTTGACTGAATCACAGTTGGTGACTATATATTCACCTACAGTTAGTGATGCATTTCCAATGTAGTGTTCTTGAAAATAAACACTGGGAAGGCCAACAGTAATAAGAGCAAACCATTTTGAGGGCTTATTATAAACCACACATCATATTAAGTGCCCTACCTGGATTATCTCATTGACTCCTCCTTAGCACATGATATCTGCATTTTCAAAGTGGGAGAACTGAGGTGTATAGAATATAAGTGACTGAGATGAGGTCCAAATGTACTCGTTGTGATTCCAAAGGTCCTACTCTTAACCTACATAACATATCCACATTCACAGCTAGGTCATATAGGACCTAGGATTTTCATAGGATTTTCATAGGATTGGGCAGAAGGCTACATAAGGAAAACTCAACAGTTGGGGAAATGTGCTTAGGGACAGTGAGGGGGAAACTGGTTTTGTCAACCTACAAAAAAAAAAAAAAAAAAACTTTAAGAAAGATTATTGATACTGGTTCACCGCTACTAGAAACTGCCAAATAAATAAATATGTGGTGAGATACTTGAACATAAAAGATGTCAAACTGCAACAAATTTACTTTTATTTGCTACTTGCTAACTTGGATTCCAGAAGTTGGGGTGGGATGGGGGTTGTATGGAAGCATCATCGCTTAATTTTGCCTGCAGTAGCTTGAAAGTTTTATTTGTCAATGAGCATGAGAGTATATTATTCATATAATGGCTATTTCCAGTTTTAAGTGTCTGGTTTTATCACCATCATTTTATAACCAAGCCCTCAGCTAAGCACGGATTGATGTTGATAGTGTTCTTTCCCTTTTCTCATTATGCGCTCTGAGTGCAATACACTGATGAATCAGGCTGAGAGATACCATGTCCTTTGAGCCAGTGTGAGGGGGACACATTTTAAATCGGAACACAGGAATAAAATTTAAATGGAACACCATCGCTATTCCCTAGTGAATAAGCTTATATTCTTCCATGAAAACTGATAAACGTCAAAATCCCCTCTGTTGATTGAAGAAAAAGAGCACATTTTTTTTTCTTCACTGTCCTGTCTTTTCAGTATAAAAAAGAAGTTGGAGAGAGGACTTGACAAAACACATATAGTTAGATGCTGAGTCTGGTTGCAGAATAGAAACATTCAAAGACTAAATAGTTGAAATAAGTTGACGAATCATTGCTAATATGACATGGGGGCAAAAAAAACAAAGATGTTGTGAGCTCCCAAGCTGAGTTTTGGGATACAGAGAAGAACCAGGCCAGGTAAGGACAATCCAGGATTTCGCAATTGGAATCCACAAAAAAATTACATGAACAACAGTGTTGAATTCCTAAAGTTTAGTCTTTGTGGTACATTAAAACATACTCCACACACAAACACACAAAACCTTATTTTGATAGAGTACCAAGTTGCTCTCTAACTCTAGGTTTGTTATTCTGTCCACTATTTGCTTCAGCAATACTACAATGATTTGACTTACACCCATCTCTTTCTCAAGCTGCTATTACCTTGTCAAAAATCTTACGGAATAAGACACGTTCCTGAATAATATTTATCACTATTTTCCTATTATCTGATAAAGCTTTCATACTATTACCAGAAATATCATTCTAGAATATTGTTCTTATGTTATCATTTTTATTTTTTGCAAATTTTAGTGGTCTCCAATGACCTGGATAATGGTTTTGAAACAGAAACAAATCCTACAAGGTCCTATGACAATGTGATCATTGTCATACTATTTCCAGCCTCTTCAACAACTTAACCGGGTACTGTAAATTGCTTTGAACATACCATTGATCTCCTCCAATGTATTCTCTCTAATTCATTTCTTTATTCCATAAATATTTATTGATCATCTACTATGTGGAAGGCATTGTCAAAATGCTTGTGATACAGTGAAAGAAAAAATCTTGCCATTTTGAAGTCTACATTCCTGTGGGAGAAAGCAGAAGATAAATATGATAAATAAGTATATTACACTGTATATTAAAAGGTGAAAGGGCCGGGCGCGGTGGCTCACGCCTGTAGTCCCAGCACTTTGGGAATCCAAGGTGGGCAGATCACGAGGTCAAGAGACGGAGACCATCCTGGCCAACATGGTGAAACACTGTCTCTACTAAAAATACAAAAATTAGCCGGGTATGGTGGCGTGCACCTGTAGTCCCAGCTACTTGGGAGGCTGAGGCAGGAGAATCACTTGAACCTGGGAGGTGGAGGTTGCAGTGAGCCGAGATTGTGCCACTGCACTCTAGCCTGGCGACAGAGTGAGACTCTGTCTCAAAAAAAGAAAAAAAAAAAAGTGAAAGGTGGTAGGAGTAAAAAAAATACTCAAAAGGAGTGTATGTTGTTGCCGGGGGCGGGGTGTCGAGAATGAATACATTGGGAAATATATATTTTTTTCTATCAATATTTTTGTTCTACAGCTAGAATAGGCCTATCTTTTCCAAAGAGAATCATACATATAAAATCCTGCATCTGCAGCAAATACTCTGAAAACTGCTTTTTCCCTGAAAACTGTGTTCCCAAATCTGAATACCTTTCCTCCCTAAAGCTGCATTTGTAGCATTTAAATATTGATGTTTAACAGTATCTCCCAAGGCTCTCTTATTATATTATATTTTACATTTTTGCATTTCTTTTGGGAAAATCATTCACTCTCAGGGCTTCAGTAATCCTTTTTGGGCAGATGACATTCACATTTATATATTTGCCAATAGCACTTCCTAGAATAATAGCTCATATACCTAAATAGCTACCAGAGTTATCCATCTGAATGTCTCAGCAATACCTCATAGTTTTTAAACTAAATTCTGATCTTTCCTGTGAAACTAGCCCCTGACCCCCCAGAATAAAAATTCTAGAATAGGTGCTATTCATTTTGAAGCTAAAGCCAGAAAACTATCATTCTTGATTTATTCCTTTTTTTTCACTAACCACAACCTAGGTCTTAGATTTTTCTCTATTTCTATTACTGAACTCTTCATGCTCCTCATGCTGGTCTCTATGAATCTACTCTGGTACTCTCCAAACCGTTTTACACATTAATACCAAATATATATACATACATATACATATGCATAGCTATGAAATACATACATATATGTATATATGAAATAACTATATATGTATATATAAAAAGCATCACATTGTACACTGTATACACATATACATGTGTATATATAATATATTCATATATGTACATATATACACACATATGTACATGTATACACATATGTACACGTGTGTATATATACACACACACATATGGTGGGCTCTGTGAATCTACTCTGGTCCTTTCCAATCCATTTTACACATTAAGGCCAAATATACATGTATATATAATTTGCCTTAATCTGTGAATGTGTATATAAAATACAATGTTTAAAAAAAATACATATATTACACGTAAATATATTTGGCCTTAATGTGTAAAATGGATTGGAGAGGACCAGAGTAGATTCAGAGATCAGCATACACACACACACACACACACATAAATGTATGTATTATATGTTTATATATATATGGTGTACGTGATGTTTAGATATACATAGTAAGGTGATTACTACAGTTAAGCAAATTAACATACTTATTATCTCATATAGTTTTTTCTTTTCCTTTTTTTTAAATTATGCATATATTTGAAACTATATAACCATTTCCAAGTTTAAATAACTGGTAAGAGTACCTAAATTCTACTCACTTGGCAAATTACCAATAATAATATTGTACAGTATACAGTACAATATTATTAACTAGAGGCTTTTTTTTATACATTAGCTCTCTAGACTTATCTAGCCAATATAACTGCAACTTTGTACCCTTTAACCTATACCTTCCCAATTCTTCACCTACAGCTCCACCCAACCCACCCTAGCATCTGCTAGCCACCACTCTACTTTCTGTTTCTATCTATTCCCTTTCTTTTAAATATTCCCCATATTGAATCTGTGAAAGATGATTATACAAATTGGGCCATTCTTGTCATTCTAACTAAAACAGAGTTGAGAAGCCAGCGGGGAAAAACACTCAGGTGCAGAATGTTGCTCCAAAAAATGTAATTCACTGCAAGCCCTGCAGCTAAAACTGCCTGCTGTAACCCTAAGCCAGTTTTGTCAAATGGCTCCTAAAAGAGCTGCTGTAACTCTAAGACTAGTTTTGCCCACCATCATCACTTACCAGTCAAAACTTGCCTCCTCCTCAGAACCTTACTAGTGCCAGTGACATTTCTCAAAGAGCAATATGTAATATTTATACTTTTTATAAGACCTCTAACCTTCCTTTTGTTCTTCGGACATATTGAAGACAACTCGGTTTGCATGTATGCCCTGAATTGCAATTATTTTCTCCCAAATAAACTATTTTAATTTCAGAGATTTGTCTCTGTAGCTTATTTGACTTTAACAAATAATAATAATAATAAAAATACTGAGACCCTGCAGTATGTCTTTCTGTGTCTGACTCCTTTCAGTTTTAATAATATCCTCTAGGTTTATTGATTTTGTAGCACAAAATGTTTTTTACATTGACTTTATTCACTTGGTTAATATTTCTCTTAACTTTTTATCGCTATTTGGAAAAAAAGTACAGTTCTTCAAGAGGTTTAAAGACCCACTAACGTAATCGCTGCCTCCCTTTCTAACCTGGTTACAACTAATCTGCTCCTGGTTTTTGTGCCTGAACCTTCCTGACCTTGTTTCAATTTCACCATTGTTCCATGTTTTCTCCTACCACTGATATTTTGCACATTATTTCCCTTATATTCCATTCTCTTAAAATCAGAACCCCCATTATCAGTATTATGCTATCTTTACTCAAATGTCACAATTTAGGACATATTCTGACTTGATCATTACACATTATATGCATATAACAAAATACTACAGGTACCCCATAACGAGATGCAAATTTTATTTATCAATAAAAATAAATACATTAAAAGATTTAAGAAAATAATTTAGGACGACTATAAATTTCCCTAAGATACTATTCCTAATCCTCCATTCAAATACAGGGTATTTTTCTAACTTATTTTTCACAGAACCCATTTGCCTTTATAACACATCTTAATCTGTATTTCTACATTTATTGTTGTTTCTTTTTTTCCAGTGCTAGTGTACCCATTACACCAAAAGAATGATAGCAAGCAGGGACTATATATCCTTTTGCTCACTATCTTATTCCCAATGTCTTGCTGTGTTCCTAGTACGGAGTAGTGTTACCGACACACCAGGGTTTCGGTGTCAGTCCTGCTGTTTGCCACACAAAAAGCCCATCACTGGCCAGGCGCAGTGGCTGAGGCCTGTAATCCCAGCACTTGGGAGGCTGAGGCAGGCAGACCACGAGGTCAAGAGATCGAGACCATTCTGGCGAACGTGGTGAATCCCCATCTCTACTAAAATTACAAAAGTTAGCTGGGCGTGATGGCGCCCTCTTGTAGTCCCGGTCCCAGCTACTCGGGAATCTGAGACAGGAGAATCACTTGAACCCGTGAGGCAGAAGTTGCAGTGAGCTGAGATGGCACCATTGCACTCCAGCCTAGCGACAGAGAGAGACTCCATCAAAACAAACAAACAAACAAAAAGCCCGTCACTGAGACACTGAGTATTACCAACGAAAAAGGCTTTAATTGGGTGCTACAGTCGAGGAGATGAGAGCTCAGTCTCAAATCCAACTCCCTGACTGACTAAAACCAGAGGTGTATATAGCAGCAGGCAAGAAACGTAACAATGTGTGAGAAAAAGGAAACTTGGGAGGGGCAAGGAAGCAACCTTGTTGAATGAGGGGTCCAATCTGGTTTCAGTTCTTTGATACTTTTGTGAGAGGCCTGAAGGTCATTTCCTGAGGAAGAAACTCAGATAAAACAAGTGTAAGTATCAAACTTTTAAGACCAGGAAGGTGAATTTCTACATTTATCAAAAAGGACAGTCTGTTGGGCAATTGGGTGAGTTTCAGTGGGAAATCTCAAATTTGTGAAATGCATGAGGAAACAGGTAAGTCTGCCTCTGGTATTTTATGAAAACAATTTAAACTATTTGAAAAGTTTCCATAACTTCTTACTGCAACTCTCTGGATTAATTAGAAAGACATTGTTTCTATAAAATTGAGATAATTTCATTGTCCAAATAGAAGGAAATGAAAAGATATAAATATTTTCTTTGAATTTTGTTGGTAGCTTCTAAATAATTAGAATAATTGGCAGCTTCTAAATAATTCTTAAATATTATACTTAGTACAGAAATAATTTGCAAGTTATACATATTTACAACTTGACTTATGCTTTGAAAATATCCTTAAAATAACAGAATCTTATTTGAAATATTTATTATGACTTATTCTGTGTAAAGATTTTTCCACTTTACATAACTGATGAGTTCTACATTAGCAATACTATAACAAGTACTGTTTTTTTAAGTAGAGGTTATGAAGCCTCTATAACTCTTAGAACCTTTGTGATTTTTCTTCAGAGTACCTTCTGAAGTCAAAGGTCTCCAAAAGCAAAGATAAAAGCTATACATGGACTCTGTAGGGAACAACCACACAGAATGAGTTGAATGATACTCTGGGAGCCATCTTTTGAAGATAGATACTCTCTCTGGGTCAGGTTGGAGTACAGTGTTAATGTCAAACGACCATCACACAAACCAAGCTCCCCTGTGACTTTAGCAGTGATGTATACTCCCAATAAAGAAGTCATTATGAGTTCCTCCAATGACTGACCCCATTTATATAGTATCTAATCTATTTCTAATGAAAATACACTGGTTAGATGCACTTACAATCTTTGTAAGTAATCATACTCTGCATTTTATACATTCTGGATTGCCCATTTCCGCAAGTCTTTGCAGTGTATGCAATTGCCTGCTATAGAATCATGATTTTGAATTAAAAAAAATAAAATTATTACATTGAACGGCCTGCCTGGACTTGGAAACAGACCCTACATTGTCTTTATCAGAAAACATGCTATTTAAAAACTAAATGCAAAGAATCAATGGAAGTACTTTAACCTAAGGCACTCCAAATAATAGAGAGATGCTATCAAAATAGAATGTTTCCAATCCAAATAAAGATTAGTATCCAGGAAGGGGAATAAGGAAAACATTAAATGCCTTATAAATTACAAGGATGTAATTAGTTGGCAGTTTAATTAGCTAATGACTTAAGTTATCTGAGTTCTTAGAGAAGAAGTTCAATATGAATGCTAAGAGTTATGACTGTTAGAAGCCAGATAACTCATACTAAGGAAACAATTTATATGAACTAAAAAATATTTTATGAGCTTTAAAATTATAGTGGTGATGGTAGTACATAATTTCAGTATAGCTAGAAAGGAGAAAATATTTATTATGCTTATTAGAGAAGAAAGATAATATTTTTAGCTTAAGAAAAACAATATAAAATAGACATTTCATAAAAGCATATTTAAATGCACCTACATTGTTATTTTATTCCTGTGTTCCATAATTGTTAAGTCTAGTTTCCCAGCGCAGATGATCTATCATATAAATTGACTTGGAATATAATTGATGTTCTCCTCATATCAGTATACTTCAATTTATGTTTTAGCCATTAAAAATATATATTCAGCATTTCTGCGCTGATTAAATACTATAATAAATCTGATTTTACTGAAAAAGTCAATGCAAATTTATTTTTTAAAATTGTAATATATTAGTTGTCTCTGAAATTTTTTTTATAATCATTTGAACATTTGAAAAGCAGACAAAGCAAAAATACAGACTAAGGAAATATCTGTATTATTCTTTGAGTATTTTGGTAAACTGTTTCTGTGAACACTTTTATAAATAAACTCTTTACCCTTCCTGGGAGCCTTGCAATTGTGACTGACAGTTTTCTTAGTGTGTCCGGAATTGGTGGGTTCTTGGTCTCAGTCACTTCAAGAATGAAGCCACAGACCCTCACGGTGAGTGTTACAGTTCTTAAAGGCAGCGTGTCTGGAGTTTGTTCTTTCTGACGTTCGGATGTGTTCGGAGTTTCTTCCTTCTGCTGGGTTCGCGGTCTCACTGGCTAAGGAGTAAAGCTGCAGACCTTCACGGTGAGTGTTACAGCTCTTAAAGCGGCGCGTCTGGAGTTGTTCGTTCCTCCTGGTGGGTTCGTGGTCTCGCTGGCTTCAGGAGTGAAGCTGCAGACCTTCGCAGTGAGTGTTACACCTCATAAAGGCAGTGTGGACCCAAAGAGTGAGCCACAGCAAGATTTACTGCAAAGAGTGAAAGAACAAAGCTTCCACAGTGTGGAAGGGGACCCCAGCAGGTTGCCACTGTTGGCTCTGGCAGGCTGCTTTTATTCTCTTATCTGGCCCCACCAACATCCTGCTGATTGGTCCGTTTTGACAGGGTGCTGATTGGTGCATTTGCAATCCCTGAGCTAGACACAAAAGTTCTCCACATCTGCACTAGATTAGCTAGATAGAGAGTCTCCATTGGTGTATTTTACAAACCCTGAGCTAGACACAGAGTGCCGATTGGTGCATTCACGATCCCTTAGCTAGACATAAAGGTTCTCCAAGTCCCCACCAGGTTAACTAGATACAGAGTGTGGATTGGTGCATTCACAAACCCTGAGCTAGACACAGGATGCTGATTGGTGCATTTACAAACCTTGAGCTAGATAGAGTGCTGATTGGTGTATTTACAATCCCTTAGCTAGACATAAAGATTCTCCAAGTCCCCACCAGACTCAGGTGCCCAGCTGGCTTCACCTAGTGGATCCCGCACCAGCCCTGCAGGTGGAGCTGCCTGCCAGTCCCGCACCGTGCGCCCGCACTCTTCAGCCCTTGGGCGGTCGATGGGACTGGCCGCCGTGGAGCAGGGGGCGGCGCTCGTCGGGTAGGCTGGGGCTGCGCAGGAGCCCACGGCGGGTGGGTGGGGGGAGGTTCCCACATGGCGGGCTGCAGGTCCCGAGGCCAGCCCCGCGGGGAGGCAGCTAAGGCCCGGGCGAGAAATCTAGCAAAGCAGCTGCTGGCCCAGGTGCTAAGCCCCTCACTGCCTGGGGCGGCGGGGTCGGCCGGCCTCTCCGAGTGCCGGCCTGCGAGCCCACGCCCACCCGGAACTCGCACTGGCCCGCAAGCGCCGCGCGCAGCCCCGGTTCCCGCCCGCGCCTCTCCCTCCACACCTCCCAGCAAGTTAAGGGAGCCCAGCAAGGCTCCGGCCTTGGCCAGCCCAGAAAGGGACTCCCACAGTGCAGTGCCGGGCTGAAGGGCTCCTCAAGCGCGGCCAGAATGGGCCCCGAGGCCCAGGTGGTGCCAAGAGAGAGCGACGGCTGCCAGCATGCTGTTACCTCTCATTAGGATACTTAGAAAGTTTTCTCTAGGTAAGTGAGTTTTACATTCTGCTTACTTGCTCATAGTTCTTTAAATATTGCCATTTCTGCTCAAAACCACCATTATAAACAGATAACAATAAATGTCTTGCTATTAGGCCCTGTGTTTACATCGTTATAGCTCCTTCCATCTGCCTACTACCCATCAAAGGCTTCTCATTTTATTTAGAGTCAACTCCAAATCCCTTGTCGTAGCTCAGAAGACTCTGTATCATTGTGATGATTTGTTTTATGTGTCAAGTTAGCTAGGCTATAGTACTTAGTTATTTAGTTGAACACTAATATAGATATTGCAGTGATATCATTTAATAAATGGGGCTAATATCTGAGATAAATCTCTTTATATGCACACATACGTACATATACACACACATACGTGACCATACTTTTCATTCACTCACATGCACATTCACTTACATGCACATGTTCTATTGGTTCTGTTCTCTGGAGAACCCTGACTGACACAATGGTCCATCTCTGCTATCTCAACAGCCTCATTTCCCATGAGTAAATCTTCCCTACTGAGACTACTCTAGGTGCAGTTTTCTTGGGTTTAACATTTTTGAATCAAGCTCGTGGTTTGTTTTTTTCTGGTGCTCAGTATCTTAATTTGGCCATTATCTTACTACATTTCTTCACCTGTTTTAGGATTCTATTTTCTTTCCTAAAAACTGTCAGCCAAAAACCTTACTGCATGTGGAATGTACTTCTCATGATACGGAATTAGAAATTTCAGATTTTCTTTCTGCTTCATTAGTAACCTCATTTGCCATTCATATTTTATTTCAACATTTTCTTTTAGATTGCTGGTGATATATATATTTTCCTCGGGGCAAAAATACAAAAGATTTGGGGAATAAATCACATTTTTGAAGCAAAGTTCCTCAAAAATATTATCTATTACCTCAATTGCCTTTTTATCTCCTTGTGTGTACATGTGTATCTATGTATCTATCTCTATTGTGCGCACATTATTTTTAAAAATAACGGTGATCTAATTGAGAAAAGAAATGTTGGCACAGCCTGGCCATGGATTCTACTCATTCTTGTTTAATCTAGTTTACATTATGAGATGGGTGAGGTGGAAGTATTCAGATTTCTGACATCTAGTTTTCACATATCCTGGCAGAGCATTTCATTCAAGTAACTATAACGATTCAAAGTTAACACTTACATTCATACATAATATCTGTCATACTTAGTAATGTTTTGCTTTGATCTTTGTCCTATTTTCCATTCTAAAAATATTTGATTTTCTTCCCAGACAAAGGGGAATTTCTCTAAATTATAGTGCTCTTTGAATTTTTTTTAATTCAACAGATGGCTTACTTCATAAAACTATTTTCTTGCTAAAGCTAGCAATAATTTTTAAAAAATCATAAATGATTATAACTGAGTCTGTTCTCTCTTGTTCCCATTTCTTTCTAATTGCAAATCATTTTTCCTGAGAAATAGTATATTTACTCCTTAATAGCCTTTCTCCTGCTGTTTATTCTTTAGCTAAAGTCATAATCTCACATTTGTGACATTATAATCATCTCTACAGTCACTAATTGTTCTAAAATGCTGCTTTAGGTGAAGGTATACAGCAGGGAGTCAGTAAGCTACGGAGAAAGTTTTCACCTGTGCACATTTCTTTGTGTAAGGAAGGGAACAATTATCAAATAGAGGTTGATTTCCTACAATTGCTTCAAGTTATGTTGTTTTTTTTTTTAAGTTTAAAAAATAGATCATGTTTCCTAAGTTAGTTACTTTTTAGTGCTAACTTATTATAATAGATTTTTAAATCACTTTACCTGGTGACCGAGTATAATTAATCGTTTTGCATTTATTTTGCTTTGTAGAATCCAACCTGTGTTTATACTGGCTCAAAGATATAAAAATCCCAATTATTTTCTAAAGATAATTTTTGGGATCATTTTGTGTGGGAAAATCTAGATGAAAATAAGTTATTAATTAAAATCTGTGAAAATAACTTGCACTTTGAAAGTAGAATTATATTTGAAGAAAATCACTTATAAAATGTTGGATTCCTTTTTGGTTCTGTCTCTGCATAATGATACGTTTATATTAATTTATATTCATTTAATATAATTTAACATAAGTACAAATCTGACTCAAAAAATTAAATAATTTATATATGTATGTGTGTGTATACATATATATATGTAATTTAATGAAGACTTCATATATATATTTAATGAGGATTTCCTTAAAGGGTATTCATGAACTTTTGTTTAACACACTTCTCAGAAAGCTTCTGAGATTTCTTCTGTAGACACTCTTTCCTCTTTCCAAATCTCACAATTACAGAGGCATTTATCATTCTTTCCCACTCTCCTATCAGTGTGCTTTTCTTTGAGTAACACATCTCTCCTCCTTCACCCTTTCACTTATCTTCCAATATCATAATGACTGCTCACATACTAAGACTGAGTTCTTCCCTATTGTCTAAACTAAATGAGCCAGAGGCAAATTGTTCTATTATCTTGTTTCCCTCCATGTGCATATCTTGTAAGTGTGATATTTTCTTGCATTACCTTCCTTATAAAAACACTCATGGCATATTTCTGATGCGTAATTGTTGCCCATTTTATAAGGATCATAATTTCTTCCTCAGTGCATTGCTAAAATAAACAATGTGTCTTTTTTTTGAGACGGAGTCTCCCTCTGTCGCCCAGGCTGGAGTGCAGTGGCTTGATCTGGGCTCACTGCAACCTCTGCCTCCCGGGTTCACACCATTCTCCTGCCTCAGCCTCCCGAGTAGCTGGGACTACAGGCGCCCGCCACTACGCCCGGCGGCTAAATTTTTTGTATTTTTAGTAGAGACGGGGTTTCACCGTGTTATCCAGGATGGTCTCCATCTCCTGACCTTGTGATCCGCCCGCGTTGGCCTCCCAAAGTGCTGGGATTACAGGCTTGAGCCACTGCGCCCAGCCAACAACATGTCATTTTATCAATGACTTACTTAGAATAGGATATTAATAAATGTTTACCTATCCATTAATAAATATCAATACATATTTATCAATTTAGGAAACTAATTTGATCCCCACCTTAATTCTACCTTTTTTTTGAACAATAACAAACCAATCTGGGAAGATAGTTTCACAAGGTAGCAAGGCACAGTGCCTTGTTCATTAGGTGCTAAAACATTAGATGTTTTCTTCTGTAGGAATTGCTTTCATTTCTATAAGTTGAAACATTTACCTGTTCAATGAAGCAAATAACTTTATTTATATCATATTTGTATTGAGGTTTTTGAACCTCATAAATTTAATTATTATAGATTGGATATTTAACGTTTGTGCAAGTTGTATTTTTTTCTACATCTATGAATATTCTTTTAGAAGCTACTCTGGGGGACTATCCTTTAGTTCTCTTGTTTTAGACACTCTGAAAAAAACAAGACACTGCTGCAGTGGGAGGGCTCCCTTTAATTTGTTCTTGGTTGTTGTATGCCCTCAGAGATTCAAAATCACTTTTCGTTTTTAGCTTAGTGGAATTGAAAAGATTAACTCCAAGAGGGTCAAATCGTATGACCTTGGAAAGAGGATTTAATGGAGATATACTATTGATTGTTTCTGAGTATCACCTGCCTAAATTTTTGTAGCTAGCAAAAGGTAAGTAGAACACTGAGAAATAGGCAAAACTTTTAGAGAAGTAGCTTTAATATTTCAGGTTATTTTTCCTGTTTTGAGAAGTGTATGTTTAATATCTCTTTACCACCTCTTGCAAGTAATAGTTTACCTGTTCATGCATAGCAAATTACCCCTCAGGTAGCCTAGAGAAATGCATAAACTCTTTAAATAAATGAAAAGCAGATTGCTTCTTGGAAGAGTAGGTACTACTTCTGGCTTTGCTACTTTCTCTTTTGCAACCTTGCTTATATTACCTAAAATTTACTAATGTATAATGACAGAGTGGTACAATATGTGATCTTTAATATCTTTGTATATCTCTGTAAGAAGATCATTTATAACAGGTGGTCTTGTGGTGGATGCCTTAGATGTAGAGGCTGAGTCAGAAATTGAAGTGCACATAAAACTTTAAGGCTTTATGGGTATATATGTGAAGGAAAAGAAATGAAGTGCAATCCCAGCACTTTGGGAAGCTGAGGCGGGTGGAACACGAGGTCAGGAAATCGAGACCATCCTGGCTAACACTGGGAAACCCCGTCTCTACTAAAAATACAAAAAAATTAGCTGGGCTTGGTGGTGGGTGCCTGTAGTCCCAGCTACTTAGGAGGCTGAGGCAGGAGAACGGCGTGAACCCGGGAGGTGGAGCTTGCAGTGAGCGTAGATTGGGTCACTGCACTCCAGCCTGGGCAACAGAGCGAGACTCTGTCTCAAAAAAAAAAAAAAAAAAAAAAAAGGAATGAAGTGCACATGCAGCTTTAAGTCCTGTTTAGGAAAAACTTGTAATGAGGGAAATGAAGCAGAATAGAGAAAATGTGCTCTCCATTAAACTCTAAGCTTAGGCTACTCTAAGGGTAGATTCTGCAACATAAAAATGTACTTCAGTTGAATCAATGGATATAGTTGTTTGTACCTCTTATAATTCATAATTGGCTGTGGGTCAGCTCTTAAGAAGGAAAGCATGCTACTCTTTGTAAGGCAGTGCCAGTTAGGTCAGTTCTCTGGAGAACCGAAGCAACTGTGAGTTAATAACTGCCAGCACTCAATAGCAGCTAGAAGAGAAATAAACTGACCTGGCAAAAGGGATCTGGAGGAGACAACTTGAATCTACTGTCTCCATCCTTTGTACCATTTAATTCTTTTTTTTTTTTTTGCTTCTGGAGAAACTTAAAAGAATAGGCATAACAGAATGAATTGCACTCCCTGTTGCTAAAGCTATTTCTAGTTTCAGGACTATTACTAATCATCTCCATCCTGGAACACCCATTCAAAATGCTTCC